>NC_000016.10:38275758-38280682 GCF_000001405.40 Homo sapiens | reverse complement strand
GTCAACGGTAGAAAAAGGAATATCTTCGTATAAAAACTAGACAGAATGATTCTCAGAAACTCCTTTGTGATGTGTGCGTTCAACTCACTGAGTTCAACCATTCTTTTCATACAGCATTCTGGAAACACTCTGTTTGTAAAGTCTGCAAGTGGATATCTGGACCTCTTAGATACCTTCGTTGGAAATGGGGATTTCTCCATATAATGCTAGAGGGAAGAATTCTTAGTAACTTCTTTGTGTTGTGTGTATTCAACTGACAGAGTTGAACCTTCCTTTAGACAGAGCAGATTTGAAACACTCTTTTTGTGGAATTTGCAAGTGGAGATTTCAAGCGCTTTGAGGCCAAAGGCAGAAAAGGAAATATTTTCCTATAAAAACTAGACAGAATCATTCTCAAAACTGCTCTGTGATGTGTGCGTTCAACTCACAGAGTTTAACTTTTCATTCAGCAGTTTGGAAACACTCTGTTTGTAAAGTCTCTAAGTGGATATTTTGACCTCTTTGAGGCCTTCGTTGGAAACGGGTTTTTTTCATGTAAGGCTAGACAGAAGAAATCTCAGTAACTTCCTTGTGTTGTGGGTATTCAACTGACAGAGTTGAACCTTCCTTTAGACAGAGCAGATTCGAAACACTCTTTTTGTGCAATTTGCAAGTGGAGACATCAAGCGCCTTGAGGTCAAAGGCAGAAAAGGAAATATCTTCGTATAAAAACCCGACAGAATCATTCTCAGAAACTGCTCTGTGATGTGTGCGTTCAACTCACAGAGTTTAACTTTTCATTTCATTCAGCAGTTTGGAAACACCCTGTTTGTATGGTCTGCAAGTGGATATATTGCCCTCTTAGAGGACTTCGTTGGAAACGGGTTTTTTTCATGTAAGGTTAGACAGAGGAATTCCCAGTAACTTCCTTGTGTTGTGTGCATTCAACTCACAGAGTTGAATGATTCTTTACACAGAGCAGATTTGAGACACTCTTTTCGTGGAATTTGTAAGTGGAGAATTCAGCTGCTTTGAAGTCAACAGTAGAAAAGGAAATATCTTCGTATAAAAACTAGACAGAATGATTCTCAGAAACTGTTTTGTGATGTGTGCTTTCAACTCACAGAGTTTAACCTTTCTTTTCATAGAGCAGTTACGAAACACTCTGTTTGTGAAATCTGCCAGTGGATATTCGGACCTCTTTGAGGCCTTCGTTGGAAACGGGATTTCTTCATATTATGCTAGACAGAAGATTTCTCAGTAACTTCTTTGTGTTGTGTGTATGAAACTCACAGAGTTGAACGTTCCTTTAGACAGAGCAGATTTGAAACACTCTTTTTGTGCAATTTGCAAGTGGAGACTTCAAGCGCTTTGAGGCCAAAAGCAGAAAAGGAAATATTTTCCTATAAAAACTAGACAGAATCATTCTCAGAAACTGCTCTGTGATGTGTGCGTTCAACTCACAGAGTTTAACTTTTCTTTTCATTCAGCAGTTTGGAAACACTCTGTTTGTAAAGTCTGCAAGTGGATATATTGGCCTCTTAGAGGCCTTCGTTGGAAACGGTTTTTTTTCATGTAAGGCTAGACAGAAGAATTCCCGGTAACTTCTTTGTGTTGTGTGCATTCAACTCACAGAGTTGAACGTTCCTTTAGACAGAGCAGATTTGAAACACTCTTTTTGTGCAATTTGCAAGTGGAGATTTCAAGCGCTTTAAGGTCAATGGCAGAAAAGGAAATAACTTCGTTTCAAAACTAGACAGTATCATTCCCAGAAACTGCGTTGTGATGTGTGCGTTCAACTCACAGTGTTTAACCTTTCTTTTCATAGAGCCGTTTGTAAGCGCTCTGTTTGTCAAGTCTGCAAGTGGATATTCTGACCTCTTTGAGGACTTCTTTGGAAACAGGATTTCGTCCTATAATACTAGACAGAAGAATTCTCAGTAACTTCCTTGTGTTGTGTGTATTCAACTCACAGAGTTGAACCATCTTTTACACAGAGCAGATATGAAACACTCTTTTTGTGGAATTTGCAAGTGGAGATTTCAGCCACCTTGAGGTCAATGGTAGAAAAGGAAATATCTTCGTATAAAACCTAGACAGAATGATTCTCAGAAACTCCTTCGTGATGTGTGCTTTCAACTCACTGAGTTTAACCTTTCTTTTCATACAGCATTCTGGAAACACTCTGTTTGTAAAGTCTGCAAGTGGATATCTGGACCTCTTAGATGTCTTCTTTGGAAACGGGATTTCTCCATATAATGCTAGAGGGAAGAATTCTTAGTAACTTCTTTGTGTTGTGTGTATTCAACTGACAGAGTTGAACCTTCCTTTAGACAGAGCAGATTTGAAACACTCTTTTTCTGGAATTTGCAAGTGGAGATTTCAAGCGCTTTGAGGCCAAAGGCAGAAAATGAAATATTTTCCTATAAAAACTAGACAGAATCATTCTCAAAACTGCTCTGTGATGTGTGCGTTCAACTCACAGAGTTTAACTTTTCTTTTCATTCAGCAGTTTGGATACGCTCTGTTTGTATAGTCTGCAAGTGGATATATTGACCTCTTTGAGGCCTTCGTTGGAAACGGGTTTTTTTCATGTAAGGCTAGACAGAAGAATTCCCAGTAACTTCTTTGTGTTGTGTGCATTCAACTCACAGAGTTGAACGTTCCTTTAGACAGAGCAGATTTGAAACACTCTTTTTGTGCAATTTGCAAGTGGAGACTTCAAGCGCTTTGAGGCCACAGGCAGAAAAGGAAATATCTTCGTATAAAAACCAGACAGAATCATTCTCAGAAACTGCTCTGTGATGTGTGCGTTCAACTCACAGAGTTTAACTTTTCTTTTCATTCAGCAGTTTGGAAACGCTCTGTTTCTAAAGTCTGCAAGTGGATATATTGACCTCTTTGCGGCCTTCGTTGGAAAAGGTTTTTTTTCCATGTAAGGCTAGACAGAAGAATTCCCAGTAACTTCTTTGTGTTGTGTGCATTCAACTCACAGAGTTGAACGTTCCTTTAGACAGAGCAGATTTTAAACACTCTTTTTGTGCAATTTGTAAGTGGAGATTTCAAGCGCTTTAAGGTCAATGGCAGAAAAGGAAATAACTTCGTTTCAAAACTAGACAGTATCATTCCCACAAACTGCGTTGTGATGTGTGAGTTCAACTCACAGAGTTTAACCTTTCTTTTCGTAGAGCCGTTTGTAAGCGCTCTGTTTGTCAAGTCTGCAAGTGGATATTCTGACCTCTTTGAGGACTTCGTTAGAAACAGGATTTCGTCCTATAATACTAGACAGAAGAATTCTCCGTAAGTTCCTTCTGTTGTGTCTATTCAACTCACAGATTTGAACCATCTTTTACACAGAGCAGATGTGAGACACTCTTTTTGTGGAATTTGCAACTGGAGATTTCAAGCGCTTTCAGGCCAAAGGCAGAAAAGGAAATATTTTCCTATAAAAACTAGACAGAATCATTCTCAAAACTGCTCTGTGATGTGTGCGTTCAACTCACAGAATTTAACTTTTCATTCAGCAGTTTGGAAACACTCTGTTTGTAAAGTCTGCAAGTGGATATTTTGACCTCTTTGAGGCCTTCGTTGGAAACGGGTTTTTTTCATGTAAGTCTAGACAGAAGAAATCTCAGTAACTTCCTTGTGTTGTGGGTATTCAACTGACAGAGTTGAACCTTCCTTAAGACAGAGGAGATTCAAAACACACTTTTTCTGCAATTTGCAAGTGGAGACTTCAAGCGCTTTGAGGCCAAAGGCAGAAAAGGAAATATCTTCGTATAAAAACCAGACAGAATCATTCTCATAAACTGCTCTGTGATGTGTGCGTTCAACTCACAGAGTTTAACTTTTCTTTTCATTCAGCAGTTTTGAAACACTCTGTTTTTAAAGTCTGCAAGTGGATATATTGGCATCTTAGAGGCCTTCGTTGGAAACGGGTTTTTTCATGTAAGGTTAGACAGAGGAATTCCCAGTAACTTCCTTGTGTTGTGTGCATTCAACTCACAGAGTTGAATGATTCTTTACACAGAGCAGATTTGAGACACTCTTTTGGTGGAATTTGTAAGTGGAGAATTCAGCCGCTTTGAGGTCAATGGTAGAAAAGGAAATATCTTCGTATAAAAAATAGACAGAATGATTCTCAGAAACTGCTCTGTGATGTGTGCGTTCAACTCACAAAGTTTAACCTTTCTTTTCAAAGAGCAGTTAGGAAACACTCTGTTTGTAATGTCTGCAAGTGGATATTCAGACCTCTCTGAGGCCTTCGTTGGAAACGGGATTTCTTCATATTATGCTAGACAGAAGAATTCTCAGTAACTTCCTTGTGTTGTGTGTATTCAACTCACAGAGTTGAACGATCCTTTACACAGAGCAGATTTGAAACACTCTTTTTCTGGAATTTGCAAGTGGAGATTTCAGCCGCTTTGAGGTCAATGGTAGAAAAGGAAATATCTTCGTATAAAAACTAGACAGAATGATTCTCAGAAACTCCTTTGTGATGTGTGCGTTCAACTCACAGAGTTTAACCTTTCTTTTCATAGAGCAGTTAGGAAACACTCTGTTTGTGAAGTCTGCCAGTGGATATTCGGACCTTTTTGAGGCCTTCGTTGGAAATGGGATTTCTTCATATTATGCTAGACAGAAGATTTCTCAGTAACTACTTTGTGTTGTCTGTATGCAACTCACAGAGTTCAACCTTCCTTTAGACAGAGCAGATTTGAAACACTCTTTTTGTGGAATTTGCAAGTGGAGATTTCAAGCGCTTCGATGCCAATGGTAGAAAAGGAAATATCTTCGTATAAAAACAAGACAAAATCATTCCCAGAAACTGCGTAGTGATGTATGTGTTTAACTCACAGAGATTAACCTTTCTTTTCATACAGCATTCTGGAAACTCTCTGTTTGGAAAGTCTACAAGTGGATATTTGGAGCTCTTAGATGCCGT
>NC_000016.10:38265769-38269096 GCF_000001405.40 Homo sapiens | reverse complement strand
TGCGTAGTGATGTGTGTGTTTAACTCACAGACTTTAACCTTTCTTTTCACACAGCATTCTGGAAACCCTCTGTTTGTAAAGTCTGCAAGTGGATATTTGGACCTCTTAGATGCCTTCGTTGGAAACGGGATTTTTTCATATAATGCTAGAGAGAAGAATTCTTAGTAACTTCTTTGTGTTGTGTGTATTCAACTGACAGATTTGAACTTCCTTTAGACAGAGCAGATTTGAAAGTCTCTTTTTGTGGAATTTGCAAGTGGAGAATTCAAGCGCTTTGAGGCCAAAAGCAGAAAAGGAAATATTTTCCTATAAAAACTAGACAGAATCATTCTCAGAAACTGCTCTGTGAAGTGTGCGTTTATCTCACAGAGTTTAACTTTTCTTTTCATTCAGCAGTTTCGAAACACTCTGTTTGTAAAGTCTGCACGTGGATATTCTGACCTCTTTGAGGCCTTCATTGGAAATGGGTTTTTTTCATGTAAGGCTAGACAGAAGAAATCTCAGTAACTTCCTTGTGTTGTGTGTATTCAACTGCCAGGGTTGAACCTTCCTTTAGACAGAGCAGATTCGAAACACTCTTTTTCTGCAATTTGCAAGTGGAGACTTCAAGAGCCTTTGAGGCCAAAGGCAGAAAAGGAAATATCTTCGTATAAAATCCAGACAGAATCATTCTCAGAAACTGCTCTGTGATGTGTGCGTTCAACTCACAGAGTTTAACTTTTCTTTTCATTCAGCAGTTTGGAAACACTCTGCTTGTAAAGTCTGCAAGTGGATATATTGACCTCTTTGAGTCCTTCATTGGATACGGGCTTTTTCCATGTAAGGCTAGACAGAAGAATTCCCAGTAACTTCTTTGTGTTGTGTGCATTCAACTCACAGAGTTGAACGTTCCTTTAGAAAGAGCAGATTTGAAACACTCTTTTTGTGCAATTTGCAAGTGGAGATTTCAAGCGCTTTAGGGTCAATGGCAGAAAAGGAAATATCTTCGTTTCAAAACTAGACAGAATCATTCACACAAACTGCGTTGTGATGTGTGCGTTAAACTCACAGAGTTTAACCTTTCTTTTCATAGAGCCGTCTGTAAGCGCTCTGTTTGTCAAGTCTGCAAGTGGATATTCTGACCTTTTTGTGGACTTCGTTGGAAACGGGATTTCTTCCTATAATACTAGACAGAAGAATTCTCAGTAACTTCCTTGTGTTGTGTGTATTCAACTCACAGAGTTGAACGATCCTTTACACAGAGCAGATTTGAGACACTCATTTTGTGGAATTTGTAAGTGGAGATTTCAGTCGCTTTGAGCTCAATGGTAGAAAAGGAAATATCTTCGTATAAAAACTACCCAAAGTGGTTCTCAGAAACTGCTTTGTGATGTGCCCGTTCAACTCACAGAGTTTAGCCTTTCTTTTCATAGAGCAGTTAAGAAACCCTCTGTTTGTAAAGTCTGCAATTGGATATTCAGACCTCTTTGAGGCCTTTGTTGGAAACGGGATTTCTTCAATTTATGCTAGACAGAAGAATTCTCAGTAACTTCCTTGTGTTGTGTGTATTCAACTCATAGAGTAGAACCATCCTTTACACAGAGCAGATCTGAAACACTCTTTTTGTGGAATTTGCAAATGGAGATTTCAGCCAACTTGAGGTCAATGGTAGAAAAGGAAATATCTTCGTATAAAAACTAGACGGAATGATTATCAGAAACTGTTTTGTGATGTGTGCGTTCAACTCACAGAGTTTAACCTTTCTTTTCATAGAGCAGTTACGAAACACTCTGTTTGTGAAGCCTGCCAGTGGATATTCGGACCTCTTTGAGACCTTCGTTGGAAACGGTATTTCTTCATATTATGCTAGACAGAAGATTTCTCAGTAACTTCTTTGTGTTGTGTGTATGCAACTCACAGAGTTCAACCTTCCTTTAGAGAGAGCAGATTTGAAACACTCTTTTTGTGGAATTTGCAAGTGGAGATTTCAAGCGCTTCGATGCCAATGGTAGAAAAGGAAATATCTTCGTATAAAAACAAGACAAACTCGTTCCCAGACACTGCGTAGTGATGTGTGTGTTTAACTCACAGAGTTTAACCTTTCTTTTCATACAGCATTCTGGAAACCCTCTGTTTGTAAAGTCTGCAAGTGGATATTTGGACCTCTTAGATGCCTTCGTTGGAAACGGGATTTCTTCATATAATGCTAGAGGGAAGAATTCTTAGTAACTTCTTTGTGTTGTGTGTTTTCAACTGACGGAGTTGAAACTTCCTTTAGAAAGAGTAGATTTGAAACTCTCTTTTTGTGGAATTTGCAAGTGGAGATTTCAAGCGCTTTGAGGCCAAAAGCAGAAAAGGAAATATTTTCCTATAAAAACTAGACAGAATCATTCTCAGAAACTGCTCTGTGATGTGTGCGTTCAATTCACAGAGTTTAACATTTCTTTTCATTCAGCAGTTTGGAAACACTCTGTTTGTAAAGTCTGTACGTGGATATTTTGACCTCTTAGAGGCCTTCGTAGGAAACGGGTTTTTTTCATGTATTGCTAGACAAAAGAAATCTCAGTAAATTCCTGGTCTTGTGTGTATTCAACTGACAGAGTTGAACCTTCATTTAGACAGAGCAGATTCGAAACACTCTTTTTCTGCAATTTGCAAGTGGAGACTTCAAGCGCTTTGAGGCCAAAGGCAGAAAAGGAAATATCTTCGTATAAAAAACAGACAGAATCATTCTCAGAAACTGCTCTGTGATGTGTGCGTTCAACTCACAGAGTTTAACTTTTCTTTTCATTCAGCAGTTTGGAAACACTCTGTTTGTAAAGTCTGCAAGTGGATATATTGGCCTCTTTGAGGCCTTCGTTGGAAACGGTTTTTTTCTCATGTAAGGTTAGACAGAGGAATTCCCAGTAACTTCTTTGTGTTGTGTGCATTCAACTCACAGAGTTGAATGATTCTTTACACAGAGCAGATTTGAGACACTCTTTTGGTGGAATTTGTAAGTGGAGAAATCAGCAGCTTTGAGGTCAATGGTAGAAAAGGAAATATCTTCGTATAAAAACTAGACAGAATGATTCTCAGAAACTCCTTTGTGATGTGTGCGTTCAACTCACAGAGTTTAACCTTTCTTTTCATAGAGCAGTTAGGAAACACTCTGTTTGGGAACTCTGCCAGTGGATATTCGGACCTCTTTAAAGCCTTCGTTGGAAACGGGATTTCTTCATATTATGCTAGACAGAAGATTTCTGAGTAACTTCTTTTTGTTGTGTGTATGCAACTCACAGAGTTCAACCTTCCTTTAGACAGAGCAGATTTGAAACAGTCTTTTTGTGGAATTTGCTTGTGGAGATT
>NC_000016.10:37946293-37956425 GCF_000001405.40 Homo sapiens | reverse complement strand
GAATTTAGCCCATTTATATTTAAAGTTAATATTGTTAAGTGTGAATTTGATCCTGTCATAAGATGTTAGCTGGTGATTTTGCTCATTAGTTGAAGCAGTTTCTTCCCTAGTCTCGATGGTCTTTACATTTGGGCATGATTTTGCAGCGGCTGGTACCGGTTGTTCCTTTCCCATGTTAAGCGCTTCCTTCAGGAGCTCTTTTAGGGCAGGCCTGGTGGTGACAAAATCTCTCAGCATTTGCTTGTCTATAAAGTATTTTATTTCTCCTTCACTTATGAAGCTTAGTTTGGCTGGATATGAAATTCTGGGTTGAAAATTCTTTCCTTTAAGAATGTTGAATATTGGCCCCCACTCTCTTCTGGCTTGTAGGGTTTCTGCCGAGAGATCCGCTGTTAGTCTGATGGGCTTCCCTTTGAGGGTAACCCGACCTTTCTCTCTGGCTGCCCTTAACATTTTTTCCTTCATTTCAACCTTGGTGAATCTGACAATTATGTGTCTTGGAGTTGCTCACAGAGTTAAACCTTTCTTTACATACAGCATTCTGGAAACCCTCTGTTTGTAAAGTCTGCAAGTGGATATTTGGACCTCTTAGATGCCTTCGTTGGAAACGGGATTTCGTCATATAATGGTAGAGGGATTTGTCTTGTTTTTATACGAAGATATTTCCTTTTCTACCATTGGCATCGATGCGCTTGAAATTTCCACTTGCAAATTCCACAAAAAGAGTGTTTCAAATCTGCTCTGTCTAACGGAAGGTTGAACTCTGTGAGTTGCATACACACAACACAAAGAAGTTACTGAGAAATCTTCTGTCTTGCAAAATATGAAGAAATCCCGTTTCCAACGAAGGCCTCAAAGAGGTCCGAATATCCACTGGCAGGCTTCACAAACAGAGTGTTTCCTAACTGCTCTGTGAAAAGAAAGGTTAAACTCTGTGAGTTGAACGCACACATCACAAAGGAGTTTCTGAGAATCATTCTGTCCAGTTTTTATACGAAGATATTTCCTTTTCTACCATTGACCTCAAAGCGGCTGAAATCTCCACTTGCAAATTCCAGAAAAACAGTGTTTCAAATCTGCTCTGTGTAAAGGATCGTTCAACTCTGTGAGTTGAATACACACAACACAAGGAAGTTACTGAGAATTCATCTGTCTAGCATAATATGAAGAAATCCCGTTTCCAACGAAGGCCTCAAAGAGGTCTGAATATCCACTTGCAGACTTTACAAACAGAGTGTTTCCTAACTGCTCTTTGAAAAGAAAGGTTAAACTCTGTGAGTTGAACGCACACATCACAAAACAGTTTCTGAGAATCATTCTTTCTAGTTTTTATACGAAGATATTTCCTTTTCTACCGTTGACCTCAAAGTGGCTGAATTCTCCACTTACAAATTCCACCAAAAGAGTGTCTCAAATCTGCTCTGTGTAAAGAATCATTCAACTCTGTGAGTTGAATGCACACAACACAAGGAAGTTACTGGGAATTCCTCTGTCTAACCTTACATGAAAAAACCCGTTTCCAACGAAGGCCTCTAAGAGGCCAAGATATCCACTTGCAGACTTTACAAACAGAGTGTTTCCAAACTGCTGAATGAAAAGAAAAGTTAAACTCTGTGAGTTGAACGCACACATCACAGAGCAGTTTCTGAGAATGATTCTGTCGGGTTTTTATACGAAGATATTTCCTTTTCTGCCTTTGGCCTCAAAGCGCTTGAAGTCTCCACTTGCAAATTGCAGAAAAAGAGCGTTTCGAATCTGCTCTGTCTAAAGGAAGGTTCAACTCTGTCAGTTGAATACACACAACACAAGGGAAGTTACTGAGATTTCTTCTGTCTAGCCTTACATGAAAAAAACCCGTTTCCAACGAAGGCCTCAAAGAGGTCAAAATATCCACGTGCAGACTTTCCAAACAGAGTGTTTCCAAACTGCTGAATGAAAAGAAAGTTAAACTCTGTGAGTTGAACACACACATCACAGAGCAGTTTCTGAGAATGATTCTCTCTAGTTTTTATAGGAAAATATTTCCTTTTCTGCTTTTGGCCTCAAAGTGCTTGAAATCTCCACTTGCAAATTCCACAAAAAGAGACTTTCAAATCTGCTCTGTCTAAAGGAAGGTTCAACTCTGTCAGTTCAATACACACAACACAAAGAAGTTACTAAGAATTCTTCCCTCTAGCATTATATGAAGAAATCCCGTTTCCAAAGAAGGCCTCAAAGAGGTCTGAATATCCACTTGCAGACTTTACAGAGTGTTTCCTAACTGCTCTTTGAAAAGAAAGGTTAAACTCTGTGAGTTGAACGCACACATCACAAAACAGTTTCTGAGAATCATTCTGTCTAGTTTTTATACGAAGATATTTCCTTTTCTACCGTTGACCTCAAAGCGGCTGAATTCTCCACTTACAAATTCCACCCAAAGAGTGTCTCAAATCTGCTCTGTGTAAAGAATCATTCAACTCTGTGAGTTGAATGCACACAACACAAGGAAGTTACTGGGAATTCCTCTGTCTAACCTTACATGAAAAAACCCGTTTCCAACGAAGGCCTCTAAGAGGCCAAGATATCCACTTGCAGACTTTACAAACAGAGTGTTTCCAAACTGCTGAATGAAAAGAAAAGTTAAACTCTGTGAGTTGAACGCACACATCACAGAGCAGTTTCTGAGAATGATTCTGTCGGGTTTTTATACGAAGATATTTCCTTTTCTGCCTTTGGCCTCAAAGCGCTTGAAGTCTCCACTTGCAAATTGCAGAAAAAGAGTGTTTCGAATCTGCTCTGTCTAAAGGAAGGTTCAACTCTGTCAGTTGAATACACACAACACAAGGAAGTTACTGAGATTTCTTCTGTCTAGCCTTACATGAAAAAAACCCGTTTCCAACGAAGGCCTCAAAGAGGTCAAAATATCCACGTGCAGACTTTCCAAACAGAGTGTTTCCAAACTGCTGAATGAAAAGAAAAGTTAAACTCTGTGAGTTGAACGCACACATCCCAGAGCAGTTTCTGAGAAAGATTCTGTCGAGTTTTTATAGGAAAATATTTCCTTTTCTGCTTTTGGCCTCAAAGCGCTTGAAATCTCCACTTGCAAATTCCACAAAAAGAGACTTTCAAATCTGCTCTGTCTAAAGGAAGGTTCAACTCTGTCAGTTGAATACACACAACACAAAGAAGTTACTAAGAATTCTTCCCTCTAGCATTATATGAAGAAATCCCGTTTCCAACGAAGGCATCTAAGAGGTCCAAATATCCACTTGCAGACTTTACAAACACAGGGTTTCCAGAATGCTGTATGAAAAGAAAGGTTAAACTCTGTGAGTTAAACACACACATCACTACGCAGTGTCTGGGAACGAGTTTGTCTTGTTTTTCTACGAAGATATTTCCTTTTCTACCATTGGCATCGAAGCGCTTGAAATCTCCACTTGCAAATTCCACAAAAAGAGTGTTTCAAATCTGCTCTGTCTAAAGGAAGGTTGAACTCTGTGAGTTGCATACACACAACACAAAGAAGTTACTGAGAAATCTTCTGTCTAGCATAATATGAAGAAATCCCGTTTCCAACGAAGGCCTCAAAGAGGTCCGAATATCCACTGGCAGGCTCCACAAACAGAGTGTTTCCTAACTGCTCTGTGAAAAGAAAGGTTAAACTCTGTGAGTTGAACGCACACATCACAAAGGAGTTTCTGAGAATCATTCTGTCTAGTTTTTATACGAAGATATTTCCTTTTCAACCATTGACCTCAAATCGGCTGAAATCTCCACTTGCAAATTCCAGAAAAACAGTGTTTCAAATCTGCTCTGTGTAAAGGATCGTTCAACTCTGTGAGTTGAATACACACAACACAAGGAAGTTACTGAGAATTCATCTGTCTAGCATAATATGAAGAAATCCCGTTTCCAACGAAGGCCTCAAAGAGGTCTGAATATCCACTTGCAGACTTTACAAACAGAGTGTTTCCTAACTGCTCTTTGAAAAGAAAGGTTAAACTCTGTGAGTTGAACGCACACATCACAAAACAGTTTCTGAGAATCATTCTGTCTAGTTTTTATACGAAGATATTTCCTTTTCTACCGTTGACCTCAAAGCAGCTGAATTCTCCACTTACAAATTCCACCAAAAGAGTGTCTCAAATCTGCTCTGTGTAAAGAATCATTCAACTCTGTGAGTTGAATGCACACAACACAAGGAAGTTACTGGGAATTCCTCTGTCTAACCTTACATGAAAAAACCCGTTTCCAACGAAGGCCTCTAAGAGGCCAAGATATCCACTTGCAGACTTTACAAACAGAGTGTTTCCAAACTGCTGAATGAAAAGAAAAGTTAAACTCTGTGAGTTGAACGCACACATCACAGAGCAGTTTCTGAGAATGATTCTGTCGGGTTTTTATACGAAGATATTTCCTTTTCTGCCTTTGGCCTCAAAGCGCTTGAAGTCTCCACTTGCAAATTGCAGAAAAAGAGTGTTTCGAATCTGCTCTGTCTAAAGGAAGGTTCAACTCTGTCAGTTGAATACACACAACACAAGGAAGTTACTGAGATTTCTTCTGTCTAGCCTTACATGAAAAAAACCCGTTTCCAACGAAGGCCTCAAAGAGGTCAAAATATCCACGTGCAGACTTTCCAAACAGAGTGTTTCCAAACTGCTGAATGAAAAGAAAAGTTAAACTCTGTGAGTTGAACGCACACATCCCAGAGCAGTTTCTGAGAAAGATTCTGTCGAGTTTTTATAGGAAAATATTTCCTTTTCTGCTTTTGGCCTCAAAGCGCTTGAAATCTCCACTTGCAAATTCCACAAAAAGAGACTTTCAAATCTGCTCTGTCTAAAGGAAGGTTCAACTCTGTCAGTTGAATACACACAACACAAAGAAGTTACTAAGAATTCTTCCCTCTAGCATTATATGAAGAAATCCCGTTTCCAACGAAGGCATCTAAGAGGTCCAAATATCCACTTGCAGACTTTACAAACACAGGGTTTCCAGAATGCTGTATGAAAAGAAAGGTTAAACTCTGTGAGTTAAACACACACATCACTACGCAGTGTCTGGGAACGAGTTTGTCTTGTTTTTATACGAAGATATTTCCTTTTCTACCATTGGCATCGAAGCGCTTGAAATCTCCACTTGCAAATTCCACAAAAAGAGTGTTTCAAATCTGCTCTGTCTAAAGGAAGGTTGAACTCTGTGAGTTGCATACACACAACACAAAGAAGTTACTGAGAAATCTTCTGTCTAGCATAATATGAAGAAATCCCGTTTCCAACGAAGGCCTCAAAGAGGTCTGAATATCCACTGGCAGGCTTCACAAACAGAGTGTTTCCTAACTGCTCTGTGAAAAGAAAGGTTAAACTCTGTGAGTTGAACGCACACATCACAAAGGAGTTTCTGAGAATCATTCTGTCTAGTTTTTATACGAAGATATTTCCTTTTCTACCATTGACCTCAAAGCGGCTGAAATCTCCACTTGCAAATTCCAGAAAAACAGTGTTTCAAATCTGCTCTGTGTAAAGGATCGTTCAACTCTGTGAGTTGAATACACACAACACAAGGAAGTTACTGAGAATTCATCTGTCTAGCATAATATGAAGAAATCCCGTTTCCAACGAAGGCCTCAAAGAGGTCTGAATATCCACTTGCAGACTTTACAAACAGAGTGTTTCCTAACTGCTCTTTGAAAAGAAAGGTTAAACTCTGTGAGTTGAATGCACACATCACAAAACAGTTTCTGAGAATCATTCTGTCTAGTTTTTATACGAAGATATTTCCTTTTCTACCGTTGACCTCAAAGCGGCTGAATTCTCCACTTACAAATTCCACCAAAAGAGTGTCTCAAATCTGCTCTGTGTAAAGAATCATTCAACTCTGTGAGTTGAATGCACACAACACAAGGAAGTTACTGGGAATTCCTCTGTCTAACCTTACATGAAAAAACCCGCTTCCAACGAAGGCCTCTAAGAGGCCAAGATATCCACTTGCAGACTTTACAAACAGAGTGTTTCCAAACTGCTGAATGAAAAGAAAAGTTAAACTCTGTGAGTTGAACGCACACATCACAGAGCAGTTTCCTGAGAATGATTCTGTCGGGTTTTTATACGAAGATATTTCCTTTTCTGCCTTTGGCCTCAAAGCGCTTGAAGTCTCCACTTGCAAATTGCAGAAAAAGAGTGTTTCGAATCTGCTCTGTCTAAAGGAAGGTTCAACTCTGTCAGTTGAATACACACAACACAAGGAAGTTACTGAGATTTCTTCTGTCTAGCCTTACATGAAAAAAACCCGTTTCCAACGAAGGCCTCAAAGAGGTCAAAATATCCACGTGCAGACTTTCCAAACAGAGTGTTTCCAAACTGCTGAATGAAAAGAAAAGTTAAACTCTGTGAGTTGAACGCACACATCCCAGAGCAGTTTCTGAGAAAGATTCTGTCTAGTTTTTATAGGAAAATATTTCCTTTTCTGCTTTTGGCCTCAAAGCGCTTGAAATCTCCACTTGCAAATTCCACAAAAAGAGACTTTCAAATCTGCTCTGTCTAAAGGAAGGTTCAACTCTGTCAGTTGAATACACACAACACAAAGAAGTTACTAAGAATTCTTCCCTCTAGCATTATATGAAGAAATCCCGTTTCCAACGAAGGCATCTAAGAGGTCCAAATATCCACTTGCAGACTTTACAAACACAGGGTTTCCAGAATGCTGTATGAAAAGAAAGGTTAAACTCTGTGAGTTAAACACACACATCACTACGCAGTGTCTGGGAACGAGTTTTGTCTTGTTTTTATACGAAGATATTTCCTTTTCTACCATTGGCATCGAAGCGCTTGAAATCTCCACTTGCAAATTCCACAAAAAGAGTGTTTCAAATCTGCTCTGTCTAAAGGAAGGTTGAACTCTGTGAGTTGCATACACACAACACAAAGAAGTTACTGAGAAATCTTCTGTCTAGCATAATATGAAGAAATCCCGTTTCCAACGAAGGCCTCAAAGAGGTCCGAATATCCACTGGCAGGCTTCACAAACAGAGTGTTTCCTAACTGCTCTGTGAAAAGAAAGGTTAAACTCTGTGAGTTGAACGCACACATCACAAAGGAGTTTCTGAGAATCATTCTGTCTGGTTTTTATACGAAGATATTTCCTTTTCTACCATTGACCTCAAAGCAGCTGAAATCTCCACTTGCAAATCCCAGAAAAACAGTGTTTCAAATCTGCTCTGTGTAAAGGATCGTTCAACTCTGTGAGTTGAATACACACAACACTAGGAAGTTACTGAGAATTCATCTGTCTAGCATAATATGAAGAAATCCCGTTTCCAACGAAGGCCTCAAAGAGGTCTGAATATCCACTTGCAGACTTTACAAACAGAGTGTTTCCTAACTGCTCTTTGAAAAGAAAGGTTAAACTCTGTGAGTTGAACGCACACATCACAAAACAGTTTCTGAGAATCATTCTGTCTAGTTTTTATACGAAGATATTTCCTTTTCTACCGTTGACCTCAAAGCGGCTGAATTCTCCACTTACAAATTCCACCAAAAGAGTGTCTCAAATCTGCTCTGTGTAAAGAATCATTCAACTCTGTGAGTTGAATGCACACAACACAAGGAAGTTACTGGGAATTCCTCTGTCTAACCTTACATGAAAAAACCCGTTTCCAACGAAGGCCTCTAAGAGGCCAAGATATCCACTTGCAGACTTTACAAACAGAGTGTTTCCAAACTGCTGAATGAAAAGAAAAGTTAAACTCTGTGAGTTGAACGCACACATCACAGAGCAGTTTCTGAGAATGATTCTGTCGGGTTCTTATACGAAGATATTTCCTTTTCTGCCTTTGGCCTCAAAGCGCTTGAAGTCTCCACTTGCAAATTGCAGAAAAAGAGTGTTTCGAATCTGCTCTGTCTAAAGGAAGGTTCAACTCTGTCAGTTGAATACACAACACAAGGAAGTTACTGAGATTTCTTCTGTCTAGCCTTACATGAAAAAAACCCGTTTCCAACGAAGGCCTCAAAGAGGTCAAAATATCCAAGGCAGACTTTCCAAACAGAGTGTTTCCAAACGCTGAATGAAAAGAAAAGTTAAACTCTGTGAGTTGAACGCACACATCCCAGAGCAGTTTCTGAGAAAGATTCTGTCTAGTTTTTATAGGAAAATATTTCCTTTTCTGCTTTTGGCCTCAAAGCGCTTGAAATCTCCACTTGCAAATTCCACAAAAAGAGACTTTCAAATCTGCTCTGTCTAAAGGAAGGTTCAACTCTGTCAGTTGAATACACACAACACAAAGAAGTTACTAAGAATTCTTCCCTCTAGCATTATATGAAGAAATCCCGTTTCCAACGAAGGCATCTAAGAGGTCCAAATATCCACTTGCAGACTTTACAAACAGAGGGTTTCCAGAATGCTGTATGAAAAGAAAGGTGAAACTCTGTGAGTTAAACACACACATCACTACGCAGTGTCTGGGAACGAGTTTGTGTTGTTTTTATACGAAGATATTTCCTTTTCTACCATTGGCATCGAAGCGCTTGAAATCTCCACTTGCAAATTCCACAAAAAGAGTGTTTCAAATCTGCTCTGTCTAAAGGAAGGTTGAACTCTGTGATTTGCATACACACAACACAAAGAAGTTACTGAGAAATCTTCTGTCTAGCATAATATGAAGAAATCCCGTTTCCAACGAAGGCCTGAAAGAGGTCCGAATATCCACTGGCAGGCTTCACAAACAGAGTGTTTCCTAACTGCTCTGTGAAAAGAAAGGTTAAACTCTGTGAGTTGAACGCACACATCACAAAGGAGTTTCTGAGAATCATTCTGTCTAGTTTTTATACAGAAGATATTTCCTTTTCTACCATTGACCTCAAAGCGGCTGAAATCTCCACTTGCAAATTCCAGAAAAACAGTGTTTCAAATCTGCTCTGTGTAAAGGATCGTTCAACTCTGTGAGTTGAATACACACAACACAAGGAAGTTACTGAGAATTCATCTGTCTAGCATAATATGAAGAAATCCCGTTTCCAACGAAGGCCTCAAAGAGGTCTGAATATCCACTTGCAGACTTTACAAACAGAGTGTTTCCTAACTGCTCTTTGAAAAGAAAGGTTAAACTCTGTGAGTTGAACGCACACATCACAAAACAGTTTCTGAGAATCATTCTGTCTAGTTTTTATACGAAGATATTTGCTTTTCTACCGTTGACCTCAAAGCGGCTGAATTCTCCACTTACAAATTCCACCAAAAGAGTGTCTCAAATCTGCTCTGTGTAAAGAATCATTCAACTCTGTGAGTTGAATGCACACAACACAAGGAAGTTACTGGGAATTCCTCTGTCTATCCTTACATGAAAAAACCCGCTTCCAACGAAGGCCTCTAAGAGGCCAAGATATCCACTTGCAGACTTTACAAACAGAGTGTTTCCAAACTGCTGAATGAAAAGAAAAGTTAAACTCTGTGAGTTGAACGCACACATCACAGAGCAGTTTCTGAGAATGATTCTGTCGGGTTTTTATACGAAGATATATCCTTTTCTGCCTTTGGCCTCAAAGCGCTTGAAGTCTCCACTTGCAAATTGCAGAAAAAGAGTGTTTCGAATCTGCTCTGTCTAAAGGAAGGTTCAACTCTGTCAGTTGAATACACACAACACAAGGAAGTTACTGAGATTTCTTCTGTCTAGCCTTACATGAAAAAAACCCATTTCCAACGAAGGCCTCAAAGAGGTCAAAATATCCACGTGCAGACTTTCCAAACAGAGTGTTTCCAAACTGCTGAATGAAAAGAAAAGTTAAACTCTGTGAGTTGAACGCACACATCCCAGAGCAGTTTCTGAGAAAGATTCTGTCTAGTTTTTATAGGAAAATATTTCCTTTTCTGCTTTTGGCCTCAAAGCGCTTGAAATCTCCACTTGCAAATTCCACAAAAAGAGACTTTCAAATCTGCTCTGTCTAAAGGAAGGTTCAACTCTGTCAGTTGAATACACACAACACAAAGAAGTTACTAAGAATTCTAAATCATTCCCAGAAACTGCGTAGTGTGCTTTTTTTTTTTTTTTTTATTATACTCTAAGTATTAGGGTACATGTGCACATTGTGCAGGTTAGTTACATATGTATACATGTGCCATGCTGGTGCGCTGCACCCACTAATGTGTCATCTAGCATTAG
>NC_000016.10:36334560-36337566 GCF_000001405.40 Homo sapiens | reverse complement strand
GGGATTCTCAGAAACTTGTTTGGGATGTGTGTTCTCACCTAACAGTGTTGAACCTTTCTTTTGATAGAGCAGCTTTCAAACACACTTTTTGTAAAATCTGCAAGTGGATATTTGGATAGCTTCGATGATTTCGTTGGAAACGGGATTATCTTCATATAAAAAGGAGACGGAAGCCTTCTGGGAAACGACTTTGTGATGTTTCCATTCAAGTCTCAGAGTTGAACGTTCCCTTTCATAGAACAGGTTTGAAACACTCTTTTTGTAGTATCTGGAAGTGGACATTTGGAGCGCTTTGAGGCCTACGGTGGAATAGGAAATCTCTTCCCTTAAAAACTAGACAGAAGCATTCTCAGAAAGTTGTTTGTCATGTGTCTACTCAACTAACAGAGTTGAACCTTTTGTTTGATAGAGCAGATCGGGAACACTCTGTAGAATCTGCAACTGGATATTTGGATAGCTTTGAGGATTTCGTTGGAAACGGGAATATCATCATATAAAATCTAGACAGACGCATTCTCAGAAACTTCTTTATGATGATTGCATTCAAGTCACACGGTTGAACATTCCCTTTCACAGAGCCAGTATGAAACCCTCTTTTTGTAGAATCTGGAAGTGGACATTTGGAGCGCTTTGAGGCCTACGGTGAAAAAGGCTGTCTCTTCCCATAAATAGTAGACAGAAGCATTCTCCGAAACTTGTTTTTTGATGTGTGTACACAACTAACAGAGTTGAACCTTTCTTTTGATAGAGCAGTTTGGAACACTCTTGTTATAGGATCTGTAAGTGGATATTTGGATTGCTCTGAGGATTTCGTTGGAAACGGGATTATCTCCATATGAAAAGAAGAAGCATTCTCGGAAACTTCGTAGTGATGTTTGCATTCAAGTCACAGAGTTGAGCATTCCCTTTCATAGAGCAGGTATGAAACACTCTTTTTGTAGAATCTGGAAGTGGACATTTGGAGTGCTTTGAGGCCTATGGTGAAAAAGAAATCTCTTCCCATAAAAACTAGACAGAAGCTTTCCCAGAAACTTGTTTTTGATGTGTGTACTCAATTAACAGAATTGACCCTCTCTTTTGATAGAGCAGTTTTGAAACACTCTTGTTATAGAATCTGCAAGTGGATATTTGGATTACTTTGAGGATTTCGTTAGAAAAGGGATTATCTCCATATGAAAAGAAGAAGCATTCTCAGAAACTTCTTTGTGATGTTTGCATTCAATTCACGGAGCTGAGCCTTCCCTTTTACAGAGCTGGGTTTACACAGTCTTTTTGTAGTATCTGGAAGTGGAGATTCCGAACGCTTAGAGGCCTATGGTGAAAAGGGAAATCTCTTCCCATAAAAACTAGACAGAAGCATTCTCAGAAACTTGTTTGTGATGTGTGTACTCAGCTAACAGAGTTGAACCTTTCTTTTGAGAGACCAGTTTTGAAACACTCTTTTTGTAGGATCTGCAAGTGGATATTTGCATAGCTTTGAGGATTTCAGAGGAAACGGGAATATCTTTACATAAAAAGTAGACAGAAGCATTTTCAGAAACTTCTTTGTGATGTATGCATTCAAGTCAAAGAGTTGAACATGCCCTTCAATGGAGCAGGTTTGAAACACTCTTTTTGTTGTATTCGGAAGTGGACATTTGGAGCGCTTTGAGGCCTACGGTGAAAAAGGAAACATCTTCCCATAAAAACTAGACAGAAGCATTCTCAGAAACTTGTTTGTCATGTGTGTACCCAACTAACAGTGTTGAAGCTTTCTTTTAATAGAGCAGATTTCAAACTCTCTTTTAGAAGAATCTGCAAGTGGATATTTGGATAGCTTTGGGGATTCCGTTGGAATCGGGAATATCGTCATATAAAATCTAGACAGATGAATTCTCAGAAACTTCTTTATGATGATTGCATTCAAGTCACAGAGTTGAACATTCCCTTTCACAGAGCTGGTATGAAACACTGTTTTTGTAGAATCTGGAAGTGGACATTTGGATCGCTTTGTGTCCTACGGTGAAAAAGGATATCTCTTCCCATAAAAACTAGACAGAAGCATTCTCAGAAACTTGTTTGTGATGTGTATACTCAACAAACAGAGTTGAACCTTTCTTTTGAGAGAGCAGTATTGAAACACTCTTTTTGTAGGATCTGGAAGTGGATATTTGGATAGCTTTCAGGATTTCGTTGGAAACGGGAATATCATCATATAAAATCTAGACAGATGCATTGTCAGAAACTTCTTTATGATGATTGCATTCAAGTCACAGAGTTGAACATTCCCTTTCATAGAGCAGGTATGAAACACTCTTTTTGTAGAATCTGGAAGTGGGCATTTGGAGTGCTTTGAGGCCTATGGTGAAAAAGAGATCTCTTCCCATAAAAACTAGACAGAAGCTTTCTCAGAAACTTGTTTTTGATGTGTGTACTCAACTAACAGAGTTGAACCTCTCTTTTGATAGAGCAGTTATGAAACACTCTTGTTATAGAATCTGCAAGTGGATATTTGGATTGCTTTGAGGATTTCGTTGGAAACGGGATTATCTCCATATGAAAAGAAGAAGCATTCTCAGAAACTTCTTTGTGATCTTTGCATTCAAGTCACGGAGCTGAGCATTCCCTTTTACAGAGCTGGTTTGAAACAGTCTTTTTGTAGTATCTGGAAGTGGAGATTCCGAACGCTTAGAGGCCTATGGTGGAAAGGGAAGTATCTTCCCATAAAAACTAGACATAAGCATTCTCAGAAACTTGTTTGTGATGTGTGTACTCAAATAACAGTGTTGAACCTTTCTTTTGAGAGACCAGTTTTGAAACACTCTTTTTCTAGGATCTGCAAGTGGATATTTGCATAGCTTTTAGGATTTCGGAGGAAAGGGGAATATCTTTATATAAAAAGTAGACAGAAGTATTTTCAGAAACTTCTTTGTGATGTATGCATTCAAGTCCCAGAGTTGAACATTCCCTTCCACGGAGCAGGTTTGAAACACTCTTTTTCTTGTATCCGGAAGTGGACATTTGGGA
>NC_000016.10:36314188-36334460 GCF_000001405.40 Homo sapiens | reverse complement strand
TCTTCTTTTTATAGAGAGATATTCCCGTTTCCAAAGAAATCCTCAAAGCCATCCAATTATACACTTGCAGATTCCACAAAAAGCGTGTTTCAAAACAGGTCTACCATAAGGAAGGTTCACCTCTGTTAGTTTCGTACACACATCAGGAACAAGTTTCTGAGAGTGCTTCTGTCTAGATTTTATGGGAAGATATTTCCTTTTTCACCATAGGCCTCAAAGCGCTCCAAATGTCCACTTCCAGATACGATAAAAAGACTGTTTCGTACCTGCTCTGTGAAAGGGAATGTTCAACTCTGTGACTTGAATGCAAACATCATAAAGAAGTTTCTGAGGATGCTTCCGTCTCCTTTTTATCTGAAGATAATCCCGTTTCCAACGAAATCCTCGAAGCCATCCAAATATCCACTTGCAGATTTTACAAAAAGTGTGTTTGAAAGCTGCTCTATCAAAAGAAAGGTTCAACACCGTTAGTTGAGCACACACATCCCAAACAAGTTTCTGAGAATCCTTCTGTCTAGTTTTTAAGGGAAGAGAATTCCAATTCCACCGTGGGCCTCAAAGCGCTCCAAATGTCCACATCCAGATACTACAAAAAGAGTGTTTCAAACCTGTTCTATGAATGGGAATGTTCAACTCTGAAACTTGAATGGAAACATCACAAAGTCGTTTCCCAGAAGGCTTCCGTCTCCTTTTTATCTGAAGATAATCCCGTTTCCAACGAAATCCTCAAAGCTATCCAAATATCCACTTGCAGATTTTACAAAAAGTGTGTTTGAAAGCTGCTCTATCAAAAGAAAGGTTCAACACTGTTAGTTGAGTACACACATCCCAAACAAGTTTCTGAGAATCCTTCTGTCTACTTTTTGTGGAAGAGATAGCCTTTTTCACCGTAGGCCTCAAAGCGCTCCAAATGTCCACTTCCAGATTCTACAAAAAGAGGGTTTCGTACCTCATCTGTGAAAGGGAATGTTCAACCCTGGGACTTGAATGCATACATTACAAAGAAGTTTCTGAAAATGCTTCTGTCTACTTTTTATATAATGATATCCCCGTTTCCTCCGAAATACTCAAAGCTATCCAAATATCCACTTGTAGATACTACAAAAAGGGTGTTTCAAAACTGCTCTCTCAAAAGAAAGGTTCAACTCTCTTAGTTGAGTACACACATCACAAACAAGTTTCTGAGAATGCTTCTGTCTAGTTTTCATGGGAAGAGATTTCCTTTTTCACCATGGGACTCAGAGCCTTCGGAATGTCCACTTCCAGATACTAGAAAAAGACTGTTTCAAAACCCGCTCTGTAAAAGGGAATGCTCAACTCTGTGAGTTGAATGCAAACATCACTACGAAGTTTCCGAGAATGTTCCTGTCTACTTTTTATATAAAGATATTGCCGTTTCCTCTGAAATCCTCAAAGCTATCCAAATATCCACTTGCAGATTCTACAAACAGAGTGTTCCCGATCTGCTCTATCAAACGAAAGGTTCAACTCTGTTAGTTGAGTAGACACATGACAAACAAGTTTCTGAGAATGCTTCTGTCTAGTTTTTAAGGGAAGAGATTTCCAATTCCACCGTTGGCCTCAAAGCGCTCCAAATGTCCACATCCAGATACTACAAAAAGAGTGTTTCAAACCTGTTCTATGAATGGGAATGTTCAACTCTGAAACTTGAATGGAAACATCACAAAGTCGTTTCCCAGAAGGCTTCTGCTTTTCATATGGAGATAATCCCTTTTCCAACGAAATCCTCAGAGCAATCCAAATATCCACTTACAGATCCTACAACAAGAGTGTTTCAAAACTACTCTATCAAAAGAAAGGTTCAACTCTGTTAATTGTGTACACACATCAAAAAACAAGTTTCGGAGAATGCTTCTGTCTAGTTTTCATGGGAAGAGATTTCCTTTTTCACCATGGGACTCAGAGCCTTCGGAATGTCCACTTCCAGATACTAGAAAAAGACTGTTTCAAAACCTGCTCTGTAAAAGGGAATGCTCAACTCTGTGAGTTGAATGCAAACATCACTAGGAAGTTTCCGAGAATGCTTCTGCTTTTCATATGGAGATAATCCCTTTTCCAACGAAATCCTCAGAGCAATCCAAATATCCACTTACAGATCCTACAACAAGAGTGTTTCAAAACTACTCTATCAAAAGAAAGGTTCAACTCTGTTAATTGTGTACACACATCAAAAAACAAGTTTCGGAGAATGCTTCTGTCTACTTTTTGTGGAAGAGATAGCCTTTTTCACCGTAGGCCTCAAAGCGCTCCAAATGTCCACATCCAGATACTACAAAAAGAGTGTTTCAAACCTGTTCTATGAATGGGAATGTTCAACTCTGAAACTTGAATGGAAACATCACAAAGTCGTTTCCCAGAAGGCTTCCGTCTCCTTTTTATCTGAAGATAATCCCGTTTCCAACGAAATCCTCAAAGCTATCCAAATATCCACTTGCAGATTTTACAAAAAGTGTGTTTGAAAGTTGCTCTATCAAAAGAAAGGTTCAACACTGTTAGTTGAGTACACACATCCCAAACAAGTTTCTGAGAATCCTTCTGTCTAGTTTTCATGGGAAGAGATTTCCTTTTTCACCATGGGACTCAGAGCCTTCGGAATGTCCACTTCCAGATACTAGAAAAAGACTGTTTCAAAACCCGCTCTGTAAAAGGGAATGCTCAACTCTGTGAGTTGAATGCAAACATCACTAGGAAGTTTCCGAGAATGCTTCTGTCTACTTTTTATATAAAGATATTCCCCTTTCCTCCGAAATCCTAAAAGCTATGCAAATATCCACTTGCAGATCCTAGAAAAAGAGTGTTTCAAAACTGGTCTCTCAAAAGAAAGGTTCAACACTGTTATTTGAGTACACACATCACAAACAAGTTTCTGAGAATGCTTCTGTCTAGTTTTTATGGGAAGATGTTTCCTTTTTCACCGTAGGCCTCACAGCGCTCCAAATTTCCACTTCCATACACAGCAAAAGAGTGTTTCAAACCTGCTCCATGGAAGGGAATGTTCAACCCTGGGACTTCAATGCATACATCACAAAGAAGTTTCTGAAAATGCTTCTGTCTACTTTTCATATAAAGATATTCCCGTTTCCTCCGAAATCCTCAAAGCTATCCAAATATCCACTGGCAGATTCTACAAACAGAGTGTTCCCGATCTGCTCTATCAAACGAAAGGTTCAACTCTGTTAGTTGAGTAGACACATGACAAACAAGTTTCTGAGAATGCTTCTGTCTAGTTTTTAAGGGAAGAGAATTCCAATTCCACCGTGGGCCTCAAAGCGCTCCAAATGTCCACATCCAGATACTACAAAAAGAGTGTTTCAAACCTGTTCTATGAATGGGAATGTTCAACTCTGAAACTTGAATGGAAACATCACAAAGTCGTTTCCCAGAAGGCTTCCGTCTCCTTTTTATCTGAAGATAATCCCGTTTCCAACGAAATCCTCAAAGCTATCCAAATATCCACTTGCAGATTTTACAAAAAGTGTGTTTGAAAGCTGCTCTATCAAAAGAAAGGTTCAACACTGTTAGTTGAGTACACACATCCCAAAGAAGTTTCTGAGAATCCTTCTGTCTACTTTTTGTGGAAGAGACAGCCTTTTTCACCGTAGGCCTCAAAGCGCTCCAAATGTCCACATCCAGATACTACAAAAAGAGTGTTTCAAACCTGTTCTATGAATGGGAATGTTCAACTCTGAAACTTGAATGGAAACATCACAAAGTCGTTTCCCAGAAGGCTTCTTCTTTTCATATGGAGATAATCCCGTTTCCAACGAAATCCTCAAAGCAATCCAAATATCCACTTGCAGATTCTATAACAAGAGTGTTTCAAAACTGCTCTATCAAAAGAAAGGTTCAACTCTGTTAGTTGAGTACACACATCAAAAACAAGTTTCTGAGAATGCTTCTGTCTAGTTTTCATGGGAAGAGATTTCCTTTTTCACCATGGGCCTCAGAGCGTTCGGAATGTCCACTTTCAGATACTAGAAAAAGACTGTTTCAAAACCTGCTCTGTAAAAGGGAATGCTCCACTCTGTGACTTGAATGCAAACATCACTATGAAGTTTCCGAGAATGCTTCTTCTTTTCATATGGAGATATTCCCGTTTCCAAAGAAATCCTCAAAGCCATCCAAGTGTCCATTTGCAGATTCCACAAAAAGCGTGTTTCAAAACTGGTCTACCAAAAGGAAGGTTCACCTCTGTTAGTTGAGTACACACATCAGGAACAAGTTTCTGAGAGTGCTTCTGTCTAGTTTTCATGGGAAGAGATTTCCTTTTTCACCATGGGACTCAGAGCCTTCGGAATGTCCACTTCCAGATACTAGAAAAAGACTGTTTCAAAACCTGCTCTGTAAAAGGGAATGCTCAACTCTGTGAGTTGAATGCAAACATCACTAGGAAGTTTCCGAGAATGCTTCTGCTTTTCATATGGAGATAATCCCTTTTCCAACGAAATCCTCAGAGCAATCCAAATATCCACTTACAGATCCTACAACAAGAGTGTTTCAAAACTACTCTATCAAAAGAAAGGTTCAACTCTGTTAATTGTGTACACACATCAAAAAACAAGTTTCGGAGAATGCTTCTGTCTAGTTTTCATGGGAAGAGATTTCCTTTTTCACCATGGGACTCAGAGCCTTCGGAATGTCCACTTCCAGATACTAGAAAAAGACTGTTTCAAAACCTGCTCTGTAAAAGGGAATGCTCAACTCTGTGAGTTGAATGCAAACATCACTAGGAAGTTTCCGAGAATGCTTCTGTCTACTTTTTATATAATGATATCCCCGTTTCCTCCGAAATACTCAAAGCTATCCAAATATCCACTTGTAGATACTACAAAAAGGGTGTTTCAAAACTGCTCTCTCAAAAGAAAGGTTCAACTCTCTTAGTTGAGTACACACATCACAAACAAGTTTCTGAGAATGCTTCTGTCTAGTTTTCATGGGAAGAGATTTCCTTTTTCACCATGGGCCTCAGAGCCTTCGGAATGTCCACTTCCAGATACTAGAAAAAGACTGTTTCAAAACCTGCTCTGTAAAAGGGAATGCTCAACTCTGTGAGTTGAATGCAAACATCACTACGAAGTTTCCGAGAATGTTTCTGCTTTTCATATGGAGATAATCCCTTTTCCAACGAAATCCTCAGAGCAATCCAAATATCCACTTACAGATCCTACAACAAGAGTGTTTCAAAACTACTCTATCAAAAGAAAGGTTCAACTCTGTTAGTTGTGTACACACATCAAAAAACAAGTTTCGGAGAATGCTTCTGTCTACTTTTTATGGGAAGAGATTTCCTTTTTCACCATAGGCCTCAAAGCCTTCGGAATGTCCACTTCCAGATACTAGAAAAAGACTGTTTCAAACCTGCTCTGTAAAAGGGAATGCTCAACTCTGTGAGTTGAAAGCAAACATCACAAAGAAGTTTCTGAGAATGCTTCTGTCTGCTTTTTATATAAAGATATTCCCGTTTCCTCCGAAATCCTCAAAGCTATCCAAATATCCACTTGCAGATCCTACAAAAAGAGTGTTTCAAAACTGCTCTCTCAAAAGAAAGGGCGAACTCTGTTAGTTGAGTACACACATCACAAACAAGTTTCTGAGAATGCTTCTCTCTAGTTTTTATGGGAAGATATTTCCTTTTTCACCGTAGGCCTCAAAGCGCTCCAAATGTCCATTTCCAGATACAACAAAAAGAGTGTTTCAAACCTGCTCCACGGAAGGGAATGTTCAACTCTGGGACTTGAATGCGTACATCACAAAAGAAGTTTCTGAAAATGCTTCTGTCTGCTTTTTATATAAAGATATTCCCGTTTCCTCCGAAATCCTCAAAGCTATCCAAATATCCACTTGCAGATCCTACAAAAAGAGTGTTTCAAAACTGCTCTCTCAAAAGAAAGGGCGAACTCTGTTAGTTGAGTACACACATCACAAACAAGTTTCTGAGAATGCTTCTGTCTACTTTTTATGGGAAGAGATTTCCTTTTTCACCATAGGCCTCAAAGCCTTCGGAATGTCCACTTCCAGATACTAGAAAAAGACTGTTTCAAACCTGCTCTGTAAAAGGGAATGCTCAACTCTGTGAGTTGAAAGCAAACATCACAAAGAAGTTTCTGAGAATGCTTCTGTCTACTTTTTATATAATGATATCCCCGTTTCCTCCGAAATACTCAAAGCTATCCAAATATCCACTTGTAGATACTACAAAAAGGGTGTTTCAAAACTGCTCTCTCAAAAGAAAGGTTCAACTCTCTTAGTTGAGTACACACATCACAAACAAGTTTCTGAGAATGCTTCTGTCTAGTTTTTATGGGAAGATGTTTCCTTTTTCGCCGTAGGCCTCACAGCGCTCCAAATGTCCACTTCCAGATACGGCAAAAAGAGTGTTTCAAACCTGCTCCATGGAAGGGAATGTTCAACCCTGGGACTTCAATGCATACATCGCAAAGAAGTTTCTGAAAATGCTTCTGTCTAGATTTTATATGAAGCTATTCCCGTTTCCAAGGAAATCCTCAAAGCTATCCAAATATCCACTTGCAGATTCTTCTGAAAGAGAGATTGAAAACTGCTCTATTAAAAGAAAGCTTCAACACTGTTAGTGGAGTACACACATGACAAACAAGTTTCTGAGAATGCTTCTGTCTAGTTTTTATGGGAAGATGTTTCCTTTTTCGCCGTAGGCCTCACAGCGCTCCAAATGTCCACTTCCAGATACGGCAAAAAGAGTGTTTCAAACCTGCTCCATGGAAGGGAATGTTCAACCCTGGGACTTCAATGCATACATCGCAAAGAAGTTTCTGAAAATGCTTCTGTCTACTTTTTATATAATGATATCCCCGTTTCCTCCGAAATACTCAAAGCTATCCAAATATCCACTTGTAGATACTACAAAAAGGGTGTTTCAAAACTGCTCTCTCAAAAGAAAGGTTCAACTCTCTTAGTTGAGTACACACATCACAAACAAGTTTCTGAGAATGCTTCTGTCTAGTTTTCATGGGAAGAGATTTCCTTTTTCACCATGGGACTCAGAGCCTTCGGAATGTCCACTTCCAGATACTAGAAAAAGACTGTTTCAAAACCTGCTCTGTAAAAGGGAATGCTCAACTCTGTGAGTTGAATGCAAACATCACTAGGAAGTTTCCGAGAATGCTTCTGTCTACTTTTTATATAATGATATCCCCGTTTCCTCCGAAATACTCAAAGCTATCCAAATATCCACTTGTAGATACTACAAAAAGGGTGTTTCAAAACTGCTCTCTCAAAAGAAAGGTTCAACTCTCTTAGTTGAGTACACACATCACAAACAAGTTTCTGAGAATGCTTCTGTCTAGTTTTTAGGGGAGAATGTTTCCTTTTTCACCGTAGGCCTCACAGCGCTCCAAATTTCCACTTCCATACACAGCAAAAGAGTGTTTCAAACCTGCTCCATGGAAGGGAATGTTCAACCCTGGGACTTCAATGCATACATCACAAAGAAGTTTCTGAAAATGCTTCTGTCTACTTTTCATATAAAGATATTCCCGTTTCCTCTGAAATCCTCAAAGCTATCCAAATATCCACTTGCAGATTCTACAAACAGAGTGTTCCCGATCTGCTCTATCAAACGAAAGGTTCAACTCTGTTAGTTGAGTAGACACATGACAAACAAGTTTCTGAGAATGCTTCTGTCTAGTTTTTAAGGGAAGAGAATTCCAATTCCACCGTGAGCCTCAAAGCGCTCCAAATGTCCACATCCAGATACTACAAAAAGAGTGTTTCAAACCTGTTCTATGAATGGGAATGTTCAACTCTGAAACTTGAATGGAAACATCACAAAGTCGTTTCCCAGAAGGCTTCCATCTCCTTTTTATCTGAAGATAATCCCGTTTCCAACGAAATCCTCGAAGCCATCCAAATATCCACTTGCAGATTTTACAAAAAGTGTGTTTAAAGCTGCTCTATCAAAAGAAAGGTTCAACACTGTTAGTTGAGTACACACATCCCAAACAAGTTTCTGAGAATCCTTCTGTCTACATTTTATGGGAAGATATTTCCTTCTTCACCATAGGACTCAAAGCGCTCCAAATGTACACTTCCGGATACTATAAAAAGAATGTTTCAAACCTGCTCTGTGAAAGGGAATGTTCAACACTGTGACTTGAATGCAAACCTTATAAAGAAGCTTCTGAGGATGCTTCCGTCTCCTTTTTATATGAAGATAATCCCGTTTCCAACGAAATCATCGAAGCTATCCAAATATCCACTTGCAGATTTTACAAAAAGTGTGTTTGAAAGCTGCTCTATCAAAAGAAAGGTTCAACACTGTTAGGTGAGAACACACATCCCAAACAAGTTTCTGAGAATCCTTCTGTCTACATTTTATGGGAAGATATTTCCTTTTTCACCATAGGACTCAAAGCGCTCCAAATGTACACTTCCAGATACTATAAAAACAATGTTTCCAACCTGCTCTGTGAAAGGGAATGTTCAACTCTGTGACTTGAATGCAAACATGATAAAGAAGTTTCTGAGGATGCTCCTGTCTACTTTTTATATAAAGATATTGCCGTTTCCTCTGAAATCCTCAAAGCTATCCAAATATCCACTTGCAGATTCTACAAACAGAGTGTTCCCGATCTGCTCTATCAAACGAAAGGTTCAACTCTGTTAGTTGAGTAGACACATGACAAACAAGTTTCTGAGAATGCTTCTGTCTAGTTTTTAGGGGAGAATGTTTCCTTTTTCACCGTAGGCCTCACAGCGCTCCAAATTTCCACTTCCATACACAGCAAAAGAGTGTTTCAAACCTGCTCCATGGAAGGGAATGTTCAACCCTGGGACTTCAATGCATACATCACAAAGAAGTTTCTGAAAATGCTTCTGTCTAGATTTTATATGAAGCTATTCCCGTTTCCAAGGAAATCCTCAAAGCTATCCAAATATCCACTTGCAGATTCTTCTGAAAGAGAGATTGAAAACTGCTCTATTAAAAGAAAGCTTCAACACTGTTAGTGGAGTACACACATGACAAACAAGTTTCTGAGAATGCTTCAGTCTAGTTTTTATGGGAAGAATTTTTGTTTTTCACCATAGGCCTCAATCGCTCCAAAGGTCCACTTCCAGATACTATAAAAAGAGGGTTTCCAACCTGCTATATGAAATGGAATATTGAACTCTGTGACCTGAATGCAAACATCACCAAGTAGTTTCTGAGAATACTTCTGTCTAGATTTTATATGAAGCTATTCCCGTTTCCAAGGAAATCCTCAAAGCTATCCAAATATCCACTTGCAGATTCTTCTAAAAGAGAGATTGAAAACTGCTCTATTAAAAGAAAGCTTCAACACTGTTAGTTGAGTACACACATGACAAACAAGTTTCTGAGAATGCTTCAGTCTAGTTTTTATGGGAAGAATTTTTGTTTTTCACCATAGGCCTCAATCGCTCCAAAGGTCCACTTCCAGATACTATAAAAAGAGGGTTTCCAACCTGCTATATGAAATGGAATATTGAACTCTGTGACCTGAATGCAAACATCACCAAGTAGTTTCTGAGAATACTTCTGTCTAGATTTTATATGAAGCTATTCCCGTTTCCAAGGAAATCCTCAAATCTATCCAAATATCCACTTGCAGATTCTTCTAAAAGAGAGATTGAAAACTGCTCTATTAAAAGAAAGCTTCAACACTGTTAGTTGAGTACACACATGACAAACAAGTTTCTGAGAATGCTTCTGTCTAGTTTTTAGGGGAGAATGTTTCCTTTTTCACCGTAGGCCTCACAGCGCTCCAAATTTCCACTTCCATACACAGCAAAAGAGTGTTTCAAACCTGCTCCATGGAAGGGAATGTTCAACCCTGGGACTTCAATGCATACATCACAAAGAAGTTTCTGAAAATGCTTCTGTCTACTTTTCATATAAAGATATTCCCGTTTCCTCTGAAATCCTCAAAGCTATCCAAATATCCACTTGCAGATTCTACAAACAGAGTGTTCCCGATCTGCTCTATCAAACGAAAGGTTCAACTCTGTTAGTTGAGTAGACACATGACAAACAAGTTTCTGAGAATGCTTCTGTCTAGTTTTTAAGGGAAGAGATTTCCTATTCCACCGTAGGCCTCAAAGCGCTCCAAATGTCCACTTCCAGATACTACAAAAAGAGTGTTTCAAACCTGTTCTATGAAAGGGAACGTTCAACTCTGAGACTTGAATGGAAACATCACAAAGTCGTTTCCCAGAAGGCTTCTGTCGAGATTTTATATGAAGCTATTCCCGTTTCCAACGAAATCCTCAACGCTATCCAAATATCCACTTGCAGATTCTTCTAAAAGAGAGTTTGAAAACTGCTTCATTAAAAGAAAGCTTCAACACTGTTAGTTGATTACACACATGACAAACAAGTTTCTGAGAATGCTTCTGTCTAGTTTTTATGTGAAGATGTTTCCTTTTTCACCGTAGGCCTCAAAGCGCTCCAAATGTCCATTTCCAGATACAACAAAAAGAGTGTTTGAAACCTGCTCCACGGAAGGGAATGTTCAACTCTGGGACTTGAATGCGTACATCACAATGAAGTTTCTGAAAATGCTTCTGTCTGCTTTTTATATAAAGATATTCCCGTTTCCTCCGAAATCCTCAAAGCTATCCAAATATCCACTTGCAGATCCTGCAAAAAGAGTGTTTCAAATCTGCTCTCTCAAAAGAAAGGGTCAACCCTGTTAGTTGAGTACCCACATCACAAACAAGTTTCTGAGAATGCTTCTGTCTAGTTTTTATGGGAAGATGTTTCCTTTTTCGCCGTAGGCCTCACAGCGCTCCAAATGTCCACTTCCAGATACGGCAAAAAGAGTGTTTCAAACCTGCTCCATGGAAGGGAATGTTCAACCCTGGGACTTCAATGCATACATCGCAAAGAAGTTTCTGAAAATGCTTCTGTCTAGACGTTATATGAAGCTATTCCCGTTTCCAACGAAAATCTCAAAGGTATCCAAATATCCTCTTGCAGATCCTTCTAAAAGAGAGTTTGAAATCTGCTCTATTAAAAGAAAGCTTCAACACTGTTAGTTGAGTACACACATGACAAACAAGTTTCTGAGAATGTTTCAGTCTAGTTTTTATGGGAAGAATTTTTGTTTTTCACCATAGGCCTCAATCGCTCCAAAGGTCCACTTCCAGATACTATAAAAAGAGGGTTTCAAACCTGCTCTATGAAATGGAATATTGAACTCTGTGACCTGAATGCGAACATCACCAAGTAGTTTCTGAGAATACTTCTGTCTAGATTTTATATGAAGCTATTCCCGTTTCCAAGGAAATCCTCAAAGCTATCCAAATATCCACTTGCAGATTCTTCTGAAAGAGAGATTGAAAACTGCTCTATTAAAAGAAAGCTTCAACACTGTTAGTTGAGTACACACATGACAAACAAGTTTCTGAGAATGCTTCTGTCTAGTTTTTATGGGAAGGAGTTTCCTTTTTCACCGTAGGCCTCAAAGCGCTCCAAATGTCCACTTCCGGATACAAGAAAAAGAGTGTTTCAAACCTGCTCCGTGGAAGGGAATGTTCAACTCTGGGACTTGAATGCATACATCACAAAGAAGTTTCTGAAAATACTTCTGTCTAGATTTTATATGAAGCTATTCCCGTTTCCAAGGAAATCCTCAAAGCTATCCAAATATCCACTTGCAGATTCTTCTGAAAGAGAGATTGAAAACTGCTCTATTAAAAGAAAGCTTCAACACTGTTAGTTGAGTACACACATGACAAACAAGTTTCTGAGAATGCTTCAGTCTAGTTTTTATGGGAAGAATTTTTATTTTTCACCTTAGGCCTCAATCGCTCCAAAGGTCCACTTCCAGATACTATAAAAAGAGGGTTACAAACCTGCTCTATGAAATGGAATATTGAACTCTGTGACTTGAATGCAAACATCACCAAGTAGTTTCTGAGAATACTTCTGTCTAGATTTTAAATGAAACTATTCCCGTTTCCAACGAAATCCTCAACGCTATCCAATTATCCACTTGCAGATACTTCTAAAAGAGAGTTTGAAAACTGCTCTATTAAAAGAAAGCTTCAACACTGTTAGTGGAGTACACACATGACAAACAAGTTTCTGAGAATGCTTCTGTCTAGTTTTTATGGGAAGAGATTTCCTATTCCACCGTATGCCTCAAAGCACTCCAAATGTCCACTTCCAGATACTACAAAAAGAGTGTTTCAAACCTGCTCTATGAAAGGGAATGTTGAACTCCGAGACTTGAATGGAAACATCACAAAGTCGTTTCCCAGAAGGCATCTTCTTTTTATAGAGAGATATTCCCGTTTCCAACGAAATCCTCCAAGCCATCCAAGTATCCACTTGCAGATTCCACAAAAAGCGTGTTTCAAAACTGCTCTATCAAAAGAAAGGTTCAACTCTGTTAGTTGAGTACACACATCAGGAACAAGTTTCTGAGAGTGCTTCAGTCTAGTTTTTATGGGAAGAATTTTTATTTTTCACCTTAGGCCTCAATCGCTCCAAAGGTCCACTTCCAGATACTATAAAAAGAGGGTTACAAACCTGCTCTATGAAATGGAATATTGAACTCTGTGACTTGAATGCAAACATCACCAAGTAGTTTCTGAGAATACTTCTGTCTAGACGTTATATGAAGCTATTCCCGTTTCCAACGAAAATCTCAAAGGTATCCAAATATCCTCTTGCAGATCCTTCTAAAAGAGAGTTTGAAATCTGCTCTATTAAAAGAAAGCTTCAACACTGTTAGTTGAGTACACACATGACAAACAAGTTTCTGAGAATGTTTCTGTCTAGTTTTTATGGGAAGGAGTTTCCTTTTTCACCGTAGGCCTCAAAGCGCTCCAAATGTCCACTTGCGGATACAAGAAAAAGAGTGTTTCAAACCTGCTCCATGGAAGGGAATGTTCAACTCTGGGACTTGAATGCATACATCACAAAGAAGTTTCTGAAAATGCTTCTGTCTAGATTTTATATGAAGCTATTCCCGTTTCCAAGGAAATCCTCAAAGCTATCCAAATATCCACTTGCAGATTCTTCTGAAAGAGAGATTGAAAACTGCTCTATTAAAAGAAAGCTTCAACACTGTTAGTGGAGTACACACATGACAAACAAGTTTCTGAGAATGCTTCAGTCTAGTTTTTATGGGAAGAATTTTTGTTTTTCACCATAGGCCTCAATCGCTCCAAAGGTCCACTTCCAGATACTATAAAAAGAGGGTTTCCAACCTGCTATATGAAATGGAATATTGAACTCTGTGACCTGAATGCAAACATCACCAAGTAGTTTCTGAGAATACTTCTTCTTTTTATAGAGAGATATTCCCGTTTCCAAAGAAATCCTCAAAGCCATCCAATTATACACTTGCAGATTCCACAAAAAGCGTGTTTCAAAACAGGTCTACCATAAGGAAGGTTCACCTCTGTTAGTTTCGTACACACATCAGGAACAAGTTTCTGAGAGTGCTTCAGTCTAGTTTTTATGGGAAGAATTTTTGTTTTTCACCATAGGCCTCAATCGCTCCAAAGGTCCACTTCCAGATACTATAAAAAGAGGGTTTCCAACCTGCTATATGAAATGGAATATTGAACTCTGTGACCTGAATGCAAACATCACCAAGTAGTTTCTGAGAATACTTCTTCTTTTTATAGAGAGATATTCCCGTTTCCAACGAAATCCTCCAAGCCATCCAAGTATCCACTTGCAGATTCCACAAAAAGCGTGTTTCAAAACTGCTCTATCAAAAGAAAGGTTCAACTCTGTTAGTTGAGTACACACATCAGGAACAAGTTTCTGAGAGTGCTTCTGTCTACATTTTATGGGAAGATATTTCCTTTTTCACCATAGGACTCAAAGCGCTCCAAATGTACACTTCCAGGTACTATAAAAAGAATGTTTCAAACCTGCTCTGTGAAAGGTCATGTTCAACACTGTGACTTGAATGCAAACCTCATAAAGAAGCTTCTGAGGATGCTTCTGTCTAGATTTTATATGAAGCTATTCCCGTTTCCAAGGAAATCCTCAAAGCTATCCAAATATCCACTTGCAGATTCTTCTGAAAGAGAGATTGAAAACTGCTCTATTAAAAGAAAGCTTCAACACTGTTAGTGGAGTACACACATGACAAACAAGTTTCTGAGAATGCTTCTGTCTAGTTTTTATGGGAAGATGTTTCCTTTTTCGCCGTAGGCCTCACAGCGCTCCAAATGTCCACTTCCAGATACGGCAAAAAGAGTGTTTCAAACCTGCTCCATGGAAGGGAATGTTCAACCCTGGGACTTCAATGCATACATCGCAAAGAAGTTTCTGAAAATGCTTCTGTCTACTTTTTATATAATGATATCCCCGTTTCCTCCGAAATACTCAAAGCTATCCAAATATCCACTTGTAGATACTACAAAAAGGGTGTTTCAAAACTGCTCTCTCAAAAGAAAGGTTCAACTCTCTTAGTTGAGTACACACATCACAAACAAGTTTCTGAGAATGCTTCTGTCTAGTTTTTATGGGAAGATGTTTCCTTTTTCACCGTAGGCCTCACAGCGCTCCAAATTTCCACTTCCATACACAGCAAAAGAGTGTTTCAAACCTGCTCCATGGAAGGGAATGTTCAACCCTGGGACTTCAATGCATACATCACAAAGAAGTTTCTGAAAATGCTTCTGTCTAGATTTTATATGAAGCTATTCCCGTTTCCAAGGAAATCCTCAAAGCTATCCAAATATCCACTTGCAGATTCTTCTGAAAGAGAGATTGAAAACTGCTCTATTAAAAGAAAGCTTCAACACTGTTAGTTGAGTACACACATGACAAACAAGTTTCTGAGAATGCTTCTGTCTAGTTTTTATGGGAAGGAGTTTCCTTTTTCACCGTAGGCCTCAAAGCGCTCCAAATGTCCACTTCCGGATACAAGAAAAAGAGTGTTTCAAACCTGCTCCGTGGAAGGGAATGTTCAACTCTGGGACTTGAATGCATATATCACAAAGAAGTTTCTGAAAATACTTCTGTCTAGATTTTATATGAAGCTATTCCCGTTTCCAAGGGAAATCCTCAAAGCTATCCAAATATCCACTTGCAGATTCTTCTGAAAGAGAGATTGAAAACTGCTCTATTAAAAGAAAGCTTCAACACTGTTAGTGGAGTACACACATGACAAACAAGTTTCTGAGAATGCTTCTGTCTAGTTTTTATGGGAAGATGTTTCCTTTTTCGCCGTAGGCCTCACAGCGCTCCAAATGTCCACTTCCAGATACGGCAAAAAGAGTGTTTCAAACCTGCTCCATGGAAGGGAATGTTCAACCCTGGGACTTGAATGCATACATCGCAAAGAAGTTTCTGAAAATGCTTCTGTCTACTTTTTATATAATGATATCCCCGTTTCCTCCGAAATACTCAAAGCTATCCAAATATCCACTTGTAGATACTACAAAAAGGGTGTTTCAAAACTGCTCTCTCAAAAGAAAGGTTCAACTCTCTTAGTTGAGTACACACATCACAAACAAGTTTCTGAGAATGCTTCTGTCTAGTTTTTATGGGAAGGAGTTTCCTTTTTCACCGTAGGCCTCAAAGCGCTCCAAATGTCCACTTCCGGATACAAGAAAAAGAGTGTTTCAAACCTGCTCCGTGGAAGGGAATGTTCAACTCTGGGACTTGAATGCATACATCACAAAGAAGTTTCTGAAAATACTTCTCTGTCGAGATTTTATATGAAGCTATTCCCGTTTCCAACGAAATCCTCATCGCTATCCAAATACCCACTTGCAGATTCTTCTAAAAGAGAGTTTGAAAACTGCTTCATTAAAAGAAAGCTTCAACACTGTTAGTTGATTACACACATGACAAACAAGTTTCTGAGAATGTTTCTGTCTACATTTTATGGGAAGATATTTCCTTTTTCACCATAGGACTCAAAGCGCTCCAAATGTACACTTCCGGATACTAAAAAAAGAATGTTTCAAACCTGCTCTGTGAAAGGGAATGTTCAAATCTGTGACTTGAATGCCAACCTCATAAAGAAGTTTCTGAGGATGCTTCTTCTTTTTATAGAGAGATATTCCCGTTTCCAACGAAATCCTCCAAGCCATCCAAGTATCCACTTGCAGATTCCACAAAAAGCGTGTTTCAAAACTGCTCTATCAAAAGAAAGGTTCAACTCTGTTAGTTGAGTACACACATCAGGAACAAGTTTCTGAGAGTGCTTCAGTCTAGTTTTTATGGGAAGAATTTTTGTTTTTCACCACAGGCCTCAATCGCTCCAAAGGTCCACTTCCAGATACTATAAAAAGAGGGTTTCCAACCTGCTCTATGAAATGGAATATTGAACTCTGTGACCTGAATGCAAACATCACCAAGTAGTTTCTGAGAATACTTCTTCTTTTTATAGAGAGATATTCCCGTTTCCAACGAAATCCTCCAAGCCATCCAAGTATCCACTTGCAGATTCCACAAAAAGCGTGTTTCAAAACTGCTCTATCAAAAGAAAGGTTCAACTCTGTTAGTTGAGTACACACATCAGGAACAAGTTTCTGAGAGTGCTTTTGTCTACATTTTATGGGAAGATATTTCCTTCTTCACCATAGGACTCAAAGCGCTCCAAATGTACACTTCCGGATACTAAAAAAAGAATGTTTCAAACCTGCTCTGTGAAAGGGAATGTTCAAATCTGTGACTTGAATGCCAACCTCATAAAGAAGTTTCTGAGGATGCTTCTTCTTTTTATAGAGAGATATTCCCGTTTCCAACGAAATCCTCCAAGCCATCCAAGTATCCACTTGCAGATTCCACAAAAAGCGTGTTTCAAAACTGCTCTATCAAAAGAAAGGTTCAACTCTGTTAGTTGAGTACACACATCAGGAACAAGTTTCTGAGAGTGCTTCAGTCTAGTTTTTATGGGAAGAATTTTTGTTTTTCACCACAGGCCTCAATCGCTCCAAAGGTCCACTTCCAGATACTATAAAAAGAGGGTTTCAAACCTGCTCTATGAAATGGAATATTGAACTCTGTGACCTGAATGCAAACATCACCAAGTAGTTTCTGAGAATACTTCTGTCTAGATTTTATATGAAGCTATTCCCGTTTCCAAGGAAATCCTCAAAGCTATCCAAATATCCACTTGCAGATTCTTCTGAAAGAGAGATTGAAAACTGCTCTATTAAAAGAAAGCTTCAACACTGTTAGTGGAGTACACACATGACAAACAAGTTTCTGAGAATGCTTCTGTCTAGTTTTTATGGGAAGATGTTTCCTTTTTCGCCGTAGGCCTCACAGCGCTCCAAATGTCCACTTCCAGATACGGCAAAAAGAGTGTTTCAAACCTGCTCCATGGAAGGGAATGTTCAACCCTGGGACTTGAATGCATACATCGCAAAGAAGTTTCTGAAAATGCTTCTGTCTACTTTTTATATAATGATATCCCCGTTTCCTCCGAAATACTCAAAGCTATCCAAATATCCACTTGTAGATACTACAAAAAGGGTGTTTCAAAACTGCTCTCTCAAAAGAAAGGTTCAACTCTCTTAGTTGAGTACACACATCACAAACAAGTTTCTGAGAATGCTTCTGTCTAGTTTTCATGGGAAGAGATTTCCTTTTTCACCATGGGACTCAGAGCCTTCGGAATGTCCACTTCCAGATACTAGAAAAAGACTGTTTCAAAACCCGCTCTGTAAAAGGGAATGCTCAACTCTGTGAGTTGAATGCAAACATCACTACGAAGTTTCCGAGAATGTTTCTGCTTTTCATATGGAGATAATCCCTTTTCCAACGAAATCCTCAGAGCAATCCAAATATCCACTTACAGATCCTACAACAAGAGTGTTTCAAAACTACTCTATCAAAAGAAAGGTTCAACTCTGTTAGTTGTGTACACACATCAAAAAACAAGTTTCGGAGAATGCTTCTGTCTACTTTTTGTGGAAGAGATAGCCTTTTTCACCATAGGCCTCAAAGCGCTCCAAATGTCCACTTCCAGATTCTACAAAAAGAGGGTTTCGTACCTCATCTGTGAAAGGGAATGTTCAACCCTGGGACTTGAATGCATACATCACAAAGAAGTTTCTGAAAATGCTCCTGTCTACTTTTTATATAAAGATATTGCCGTTTCCTCTGAAATCCTCAAAGCTATCCAAATATCCACTTGCAGATTCTACAAACAGAGTGTTCCCGATCTGCTCTATCAAACGAAAGGTTCAACTCTGTTAGTTGAGTAGACACATGACAAACAAGTTTCTGAGAATGCTTCTGTCTAGTTTTTAAGGGAAGAGATTTCCAATTCCACCGTTGGCCTCAAAGCGCTCCAAATGTCCACATCCAGATACTACAAAAAGAGTGTTTCAAACCTGTTCTATGAATGGGAATGTTCAACTCTGAAACTTGAATGGAAACATCACAAAGTCGTTTCCCAGAAGGCTTCCGTCTCCTTTTTATCTGAAGATAATCCCGTTTCCAACGAAATCCTCGAAGCCATCCAAATATCCACTTGCAGATTTTACAAAAAGTGTGTTTGAAAGCTGCTCTATCAAAAGAAAGGTTCAACACCGTTAGTTGAGCACACACATCCCAAACAAGTTTCTGAGAATCCTTCTGTCTACATTTTATGGGAAGATATTTCCTTTTTCACCATAGGACTCAAAGCGCTCCAAATGTACACTTCCGGATACTATAAAAAGAATGTTTCAAACTTGCTCTGTGAAAGGGAATGTTCAAATCTGTGACTTGAATGCAAACCTCATAAAGAAGTTTCTGAGGATGCTTCCGTCTACTTTTTAAATGACGATAATCCTGTTTCCAACGAAATAATCGAAGATATAAATATCCAGTTGCAGATTTTACAAAAAGTGTGTTTGAAAGCTGCTCTATCAAAAGAAAGGTTCAACTCTGTTAGTTGAGTACACACCTCAGGAACAAGTTTCTGAGAGTGCTTCAGTCTAGTTTTTATGGGAAGAATTTTTGTTTTTCACCATAGGCCTCAATCGCTCCAAAGGTCCACTTCCAGATACTATAAAAAGAGGGTTTCAAACCTGCTCTATGAAATGGAATATTGAACTCTGTGACCTGAATGCAAACATCACCAAGTAGTTTCTGAGAATACTTCTTCTTTTTATAGAGAGATATTCCCGTTTCCAAAGAAATCCTCAAAGCCATCCAATTATACACTTGCAGATTCCACAAAAAGCGTGTTTCAAAACAGGTCTACCATAAGGAAGGTTCAACTCTGTTAGTTGAGTACACACATCAGGAACAAGTTTCTGAGAGTGCTTCTGTCTACATTTTATGGGAAGATATTTCCTTCTTCACCATAGGACTCAAAGCGCTCCAAATGTACACTTCCGGATACTAAAAAAAGAATGTTTCAAACCTGCTCTGTGAAAGGGAATGTTCAAATCTGTGACTTGAATGCCAACCTCATAAAGAAGTTTCTGAGGATGCTTCTTCTTTTTATAGAGAGATATTCCCGTTTCCAACGAAATCCTCCAAGCCATCCAAGTATCCACTTGCAGATTCCACAAAAAGCGTGTTTCAAAACTGCTCTATCAAAAGAAAGGTTCAACTCTGTTAGTTGAGTACACACATCAGGAACAAGTTTCTGAGAGTGCTTCAGTCTAGTTTTTATGGGAAGAATTTTTGTTTTTCACCATAGGCCTCAATCGCTCCAAAGGTCCACTTCCAGATACTATAAAAAGAGGGTTTCAAACCTGCTCTATGAAATGGAATATTGAACTCTGTGACCTGAATGCAAACATCACCAAGTAGTTTCTGAGAATACTTCTTCTTTTTATAGAGAGATATTCCCGTTTCCAAAGAAATCCTCAAAGCCATCCAATTATACACTTGCAGATTCCACAAAAAGCGTGTTTCAAAACAGGTCTACCATAAGGAAGATTCACCTCTGTTAGTTTCGTACACACATCAGGAACAAGTTTCTGAGAGTGCTTCTGTCTACATTTTATGGGAAGATATTTCCTTCTTCACCATAGGACTCAAAGCGCTCCAAATGTACACTTCCGGATACTAAAAAAAGAATGTTTCAAACCTGCTCTGTGAAAGGGAATGTTCAAATCTGTGACTTGAATGCCAACCTCATAAAGAAGTTTCTGAGCATGCTTCTTCTTTTCATATGGAGATATTCCCGTTTCCAAAGAAATCCTCAAAGCCATCCAAGTGTCCACTTGCAGATTCCACAAAAAGCGTGTTTCAAAACTGGTCTACCAAAAGGAAGGTTCACCTCTGTTAGTTGAGTACACACATCAGGAACAAGTTTCTGAGAGTGCT
>NC_000016.10:36311158-36314088 GCF_000001405.40 Homo sapiens | reverse complement strand
CTTCAGTCTAGTTTTTATGGGAAGAATTTTTGTTTTTCACCCTAGGCCTCAATCGCTCCAAAGGTCCACTTCCAGATACTATAAAAAGAGTGTTTCAGAGGAGGAGCCAAGATGGCCGAATAGGAACAGCCCCGGTCTACTGCTCCCAGCGTGAGCGAAGCTGAAGACGGGTGATTTCTGCATTTCCATCTGAGGTACCGGTACGTCTACTTTTTATATGAAGATAATCCCGTTTCCAATGAAATCCTCAAAGCTATCCAAATATCCACTTGCAGATTTTACAAAAAGAGTGTTTGAAAGCTGCTCTATCAAAACAAAGTTTCAACACTGTTAGTTGAGTACACACATCCCAAACAAGTTTCTGAGAATCCTTCTGTCTAGTTTTTATGGGAAGATGTTTCCTTTTTCACCGTAGGCCTCAAAGCGCTCCAAATGTCCATTTCCAGATACAACAAAAAGAGTGTTTCAAACCTGCTCCACGGAAGGGAATGTTCAACTCTGGGACTTGAATGCGTACATCACAAAGAAGTTTCTGAAAATGCTTCTGTCTACTTTTTATATAATGATATCCCCGTTTCCTCCGAAATACTCAAAGCTATCCAAATATCCACTTGTAGATACTACAAAAAGGGTGTTTCAAAACTGCTCTCTCAAAAGAAAGGTTCAACTCTCTTAGTTGAGTACACACATCACAAACAAGTTTCTGAGAATGCTTCTGTCTAGTTTTCATGGGAAGAGATTTCCTTTTTCACCATGGGACTCAGAGCCTTCGGAATGTCCACTTCCAGATACTAGAAAAAGTCTGTTTCAAAACCTGCTCTGTAAAAGGGAATGCTCAACTCTGTGAGTTGAATGCAAACATCACTACGAAGTTTCCGAGAATGTTTCTGCTTTTCATATGGAGATAATCCCTTTTCCAACGAAATCCTCAGAGCAATCCAAATATCCACTTACAGATCCTACAACAAGAGTGTTTCAAAACTACTCTATCAAAAGAAAGGTTCAACTCTGTTAGTTGTGTACACACATCAAAAAACAAGTTTCGGAGAATGCTTCTGTCTACTTTTTGGGGAAGAGATAGCCTTTTTCACCGTAGGCCTCAAAGCGCTCCAAATGTCCACTTCCAGATTCTACAAAAAGAGGGTTTCGTACCTCATCTGTGAAAGGGAATGTTCAACCCTGGGACTTGAATGCATACATCACAAAGAAGTTTCTGAAAATGCTCCTGTCTACTTTTTATATAAAGATATTGCCGTTTCCTCTGAAATCCTCAAAGCTATCCAAATATCCACTTGCAGATTCTACAAACAGAGTGTTCCCGATCTGCTCTATCAAACGAAAGGTTCAACTCTGTTAGTTGAGTAGACACATGACAAACAAGTTTCTGAGAATGCTTCTGTCTAGTTTTTAAGGGAAGAGATTTCCAATTCCACCGTTGGCCTCAAAGCGCTCCAAATGTCCACATCCAGATACTACAAAAAGAGTGTTTCAAACCTGTTCTATGAATGGGAATGTTCAACTCTGAAACTTGAATGGAAACATCACAAAGTCGTTTCCCAGAAGGCTTCCGTCTCCTTTTTATCTGAAGATAATCCCGTTTCCAACGAAATCCTCGAAGCTATCCAAATATCCACTTGCAGATTTTACAAAAAGTGTGTTTGAAAGCTGCTCTATCAAAAGAAAGGTTCAACACTGTTAGTTGAGCACACACATCCCAAACAAGTTTCTGAGAATCCTTCTGTCTACATTTTATGGGAAGATATTTCCTTTTTCACCATAGGACTCAAAGCGCTCCAAATGTACACTTCCGGATACTATAAAAAGAATGTTTCAAACCTGCTCTGTGAAAGGGAATGTTCAACACTGTGACTTGAATGCAAACCTCATAAAGAAGCTTCTGAGGATGCTTCTTCTTTTTATAGAGAGATATTCCCGTTTCCAAAGAAATCCTCAAAGCCATCCAATTATACACTTGCAGATTCCACAAAAAGCGTGTTTCAAAACAGGTCTACCATAAGGAAGGTTCACCTCTGTTAGTTTCGTACACACATCAGGAACAAGTTTCTGAGAGTGCTTCAGTCTAGTTTTTATGGGAAGAATTTTTGTTTTTCACCATAGGCCTCAATCGCTCCAAAGGTCCACTTCCAGATACTATAAAAAGAGGGTTTCCAACCTGCTCTATGAAATGGAATATTGAACTCTGTGACCTGAATGCAAACATCACCAAGTAGTTTCTGAGAATACTTCTGTCTAGATTTTATATGAAGCTATTCCCGTTTCCAAGGAAATCCTCAAAGCTATCCAAATATCCACTTGCAGATTCTTCTGAAAGAGAGATTGAAAACTGCTCTATTAAAAGAAAGCTTCAACACTGTTAGTGGAGTACACACATGACAAACAAGTTTCTGAGAATGCTTCTGTCTAGTTTTTATGTGAAGATGTTTCCTTTTTCACCGTAGGCCTCAAAGCGCTCCAAATGTCCATTTCCAGATACAACAAAAAGAGTGTTTCAAACCTGCTCCATGGAAGGGAATGTTCAACTCTGGGGCTTGAATGCGTACATCACAAAGAAGTTTCTGAAAATGCTTCTGTCTACTTTTTATATAATGATATCCCCGTTTCCTCCGAAATACTCAAAGCTATCCAAATATCCACTTGTAGATACTACAAAAAGGGTGTTTCAAAACTGCTCTCTCAAAAGAAAGGTTCAACTCTCTTAGTTGAGTACACACATCACAAACAAGTTTCTGAGAATGCTTCTGTCTAGTTTTCATGGGAAGAGATTTCCTTTTTCACCATGGGCCTCAGAGCGTTCGGAATGTCCACTTTCAGATACTAGAAAAAGACTGTTTCAAAACCTGCTCTGTAAAAGGGAATGCTCCACTCTGTGACTTGAATGCAAACATCACTATGAAGTTTCCGAGAATGCT
>NC_000016.10:36260628-36261158 GCF_000001405.40 Homo sapiens | reverse complement strand
CTGTGAAGAAAGTCATTGTAAAGAGCTTCTGCACAGCAAAAGAAACTACCATCAGAGTGAACAGGCAACCTACAACATGGGAGAAAATTTTCGCAACCTACTCATCTGACAAAGGGCTAATATCCAGAATCTACAATGAACTCAAACAAATTTACAAGAAAAAAACAAACAAACCCATCAAAAAGTGGGCGAAGGACATGAACAGACACTTCTCAAAAGAAGACATTTATGCAGCCAAAAAACACATGAAGAAATGCTCATCATCACTGGCCATCAGAGAAATGCAAATCAAAACCACCATGAGATATCATCTCACACCAGTTAGAATGGCAATCATTAAAAAGTCAGGAAACAACAGGTGCTGGAGAGGATGCGGAGAAATAGGAACACTTTTACACTGTTGGTGGGACTGTAAACTAGTTCAACCATTGTGGAAGTCAGTGTGGCGATTCCTCAGGGATCTAGAACTAGAAATACCATTTGACCCAGCCATCCCATTACTGGGTATATACCCAAATGAGTATAAATCA
>NC_000016.10:34580965-34584085 GCF_000001405.40 Homo sapiens | reverse complement strand
GTCCATTCCATTATTCCATTCTATTCCATTTGATGATGATTCCATTGGATTGCATTCATTGGTGATTCCACTCATTCCCATTCAATGATCCCATTCCCTTTCTTTCAACAATGATTCCATTAGTTGCTAATCGATGATCCACTTGATTCCATTTGACGATGATTCCATTCTTGTCCATTCGATGATTCCATTTGTTTCCATATGATGATGATTCCATTCGATTCCATACGATGATGATTCCATTCGAGTCCATTCAATGGTGATTCCATTCAATTCCATTCGATGATTCCTTTTGATTCCATTTGATGATGATGGCATTCGATTCCTTTCAATCATTCCCTTTGATTCCACTCAAAGGTGATTTCATTCAAGTCCATTCGATAATTGCATTCGATTCCATTCTATGATGATTCCATTCGAGTCCATTTGATGATTCCATTCAATTCAAGTCAATGATGATTCCATTCGATTCCATTCGATGATTCCATTGGATTCCATTTGATGATGATTCCATTCAAATCCATTCGATAATTCAATTCAAGTCCATTCGATGATTATTCCAATCGAATCCATTCAAAGATTACATTCAATCCCATTCGATGATTCCCTTAGATTCCATTCGATGATTCCACTTGATTCCATTTACGATGATTCCATTCGATTCCATGTGATGATTCCATTCAATTCTATTCAATGATGTTTCCATTTGATTCCATTCGACCATGATTGCCTTTGATTCCATTCAATGATTCCATTCGGTTCCGTTTGATGATGATTCCGTTCGATTCCATTTGATGATTCCATTTGATTCCATTGGATGAGTCTATTTGATTACATTCGATGATTATTCCATTCGAGTGCATTAGATGATTCCATTCGAGTGCATTAGATGATTCCATTCGAGTCCATTCGATGATTCCATTCGATTCCATTCGATGTTGATTCTGTTCAAATCCATTCGATGATTCCACTCGATTCCATTCGATGACTCCATTTGATCCCATTCGATGATTTCCTTTGATTCCCTTTGATGATCATTCCATTTGATTCAATTCGGTGATTTCATTTGATTCCATTCAGTGATGTTTCCATTCGACTCCATTCGATGATGATTCCATTCGACTCCATTCGATTATGATTTCATTCAATTCCATTCGATAATGATTCCCTTCGGGTCCATTCGATGATTTCATTCGATTCCGTTCAACGATGATTTCATTCGTGTCCATTCGATGATTCCATTTGATTCCACTTGATGATGATTCCATTCGAGTCCATTTGATGATTCCATTCAATTCCATTCTCCGATGATTTCTTTTGAGCCCATTCAATGCTTCCACTCGATTCCATATGATGATGACTACATTCGATGAAATTCGATGATGATTCCATTCGCTTTCATTCGATGATGATTCCACTTGAGTCCGTTAGAAGTTTCTGTTCAATTACATTCCATGACGATTCCGTTAGAGTCCATTTGATGATTCCATTAGACTCCATTTGAGGATGATTCCATTCGATGTTATTCGATGATTCCATTCGATTTCATTCGATGATGATTCCATTCAACTCCATTCGATGTTTCCATTCGAGTTCATTCTATTAATCCATTAGATTCCGTTCGATGATGATTCCATTCGATTCCATTTGATGATTGCATTCTATTTCATTTGATGATGATTCCATTCGAGTCCATTCGATGATTCCATTCGAGTCCATTTAATGAATCCATTGGTTTCAATTCTATGATGATTACATTGGATTCCATTCGTTGATGATTTCATTCGATTCCATTCAATGATGATTCCATTCAATTCCTTGCAATGTTTCCATTCAATTCCATACGATGATGATTCCATTTGATTTGATTCGACAGTGAGCCATTCGATTCAATTCCATGATGATTGTATTTGATTCAATTGGTTGACATTTCCATTCGATTCCATTCGATGATGATTCAATTTGATTCCATTCTAGCCCATTCAATCATTCCATTCGATTCTATTCAATGATGATTCCATTCATGTCGATTTGGTGATTCCATTTGACTTCATTTGATGATGATTCCTTTCAAGTTCATTAGATGATTCCATTCGATTCCATTTGATGATGATCTCATTCGAGTCCATTCCGTGATTCCATTCCTTTCCATTCCATGATGATTCCATTCCATTCCATTCAATGATTCCATTCGATTCCGTTTGATGATGATTTCTTTCGAGTCCATTTGATGATTCCATTCGATGATGATTCCATTCGGGTCCATTAGATGATTCTATTCGAATCCATTTGATGATTTCTTTTGATTATAGTTGGTGATGATTCCATTGGAGTCCATTCAATGATTCCATTCGATTCCAATCGATGATTATTCCATTAGAGTCCATTTAATGATTCCATTTGATTCCAGTCTGATGATTACATTCGAGTCCATACGATGATTCCACTCAATTCCATATGATGATGATTCCATTCGATTCCATTCGATGATTCCATTCTATTCTATTCAATGGTGATTCCATTCGAGTACATTAGATGATTCCATTCGATTCCATTCAATGATGATTCTATTTGTGTCCCTTAGATGATTCCACATGATTCCATTAGATGATGATACTATTTGAGCCCATCCAATGATTCCCTTCGATTCCATTCGATGAGGATTCCATTCGATTCAATTCATTGGTGATTCTATTCAATGCAATTCTTTGATTCCATTCCGTTCCATTCGACAATGATTCCATTCTATTTCTTTCGATGATTCCACTCGATTCCACTTGACATTGATTCCATTCGATTCCATTCAATGATTCCATTTGATTCCAGTGGATGATGATTGCCATCGATTCCATTTGATAACTCCATTCTATTCCATTTGATGATGATTACATTCGATTCCATTTGATGATTCCATCTGATTCTATTCAAGGATTCCAATTGATCCCATTCGATGATGATTCCATTCGAGTCCATTCGATGATTTCATTCGAGTACATCCAATGATTCCATTCGAGTCCATTTGATGATTCCATTTGATTCCATTTGATTATGATTCTACTAGAGTCCATTCAATGACTCCATTCGAGTCCATTCAACAATTCCATTCGAGTCCATTCGATG
>NC_000016.10:34571510-34576805 GCF_000001405.40 Homo sapiens | reverse complement strand
TTCTTCGATGATCCACTCGATTCCACTTGACATGATCCATTCGATCCATCAATGATTCCATTTGATTCCAGTGGATGATGATTGCCATCGATTCCATTTGATCACTCCATTCTATTCCATTTGATGATGATTACATTCGATTCCATTTGATGATTCCATCTGATTCTATTCGAGGATTCCAATTGATTCCATTCGATGATGATTCCATTCGAGTCCATTCGATGATTTCATTCGAGTACATCCAATGATTCCATTCGAGTCCATTTGATGATTCCATTTGATTCCATTTGATTATGATTCTACTAGAGTCCATTCAATGACTCCATTCGAGTCCATTCAACAATTCCATTCGAGTCCATTCGATGATTCCATTCGATTCCATTTGATGATTCCATTCGAGTCCATTTAATCATTACAGTCGAGTCCACTTGGTGATTCCACTGGATTTCTTTTGATAATGATACCATTCAATTACATTTGATGATGATCCCATTGAATTTCATTTGATGATGATTCCATTAGAGTCCATTCGATGATTTCATTCGAGTCCCTTCATTGATTCCATCCGATTTTATTTGATGATGACTCCATTCGAGTCCATTCGATGATTCCACTCGATTCCATTAGATGATTCCATTGGAGTCCATTTCATTGTTCCATTCGATTCCATTCGATTCCTTTCGAAGATTATTCCATTTGAGTCCATTCGATGATGATTCCATTCCATTCCATTCCATTCGATGATTCCCTTCGATTCCTTTCTATGATGATTCCATTCCATTCCATTCAATGATTCCATTCGAATCTATTCCATGATGATTCCTCTCGATTCCATTCGCTGATGTTTACGTTCAATTCCATTCGATGATGATTCCATTCGATTCCATTCATTGAGGATTCCATTTCATTCCATTCAATGATGATTCCATTCTATTCCATTCAATGATTGCATTCAATTCTATTCAATGATTATCCCATTACAGTAAATTCAACGATTGCATTCAATACCATTCGATGATGATTCCTTTTGAGTCCATTCAATGATTTCATTCAAGTCCATTTGATGATTCCTTTCAATTCCATTCTATGATGATTCCATTCGAGTCCATTCCATGATTCCATTCGATTGCATTCGATGATTCCATTATATTCCATTCAACGATGATTCCATTCGAGTCCATTCGATGATTCCATTAGAGTACATTTAATGATTGCTTTGTTTTCAATTCGAAGATGATTACATTGGTTTCCATTCTATGATTCCATTCGATTGCATTCATTGATGATTCTACCCATTCCATTCGATGATGATTCCATTCGATTTCATTCAATGATTCTACTCGATTCCATTCAATGATGATTCAATTCTATTCCATTCGATGATTCCATTAGATTCCATTCTATGATGATTCCATTCGAGTCCATTCGAAGATTCCATTCGATTACATTCCATGGCGATTCCATTCGAGTCCATTCGATGATTCCATTTGAATCCATTCGACGATGATTCCATTTGATGCTATTCGATGATTCCATTGGATTCATTCGATGATGATTCATTCCGACTTGATTTGATGATTCTATTTGAGTCCATTCGTTATTTTATTAGACTACATTCGATGATGATTCCATTCGATGCCATTCAATGATTCCATTTGATTCCACTCAATGATGATTGCATTCGTGTCCATTCGATATTTCCATTTGGTTCCATTTGATGATGATTCCATTCGAGTCCATTCGATGATACCATTCAATTCCATTCGATGATCATTCCATTCGAATCCATTTGATGATTCCACTCAATTCCATTTGATGACTCCTTTCATTCCCATTCGATGATTCCCTTCAATTCCATTCGATGATCTTTCCATTTGATTCAATATGGTGACTCCATTCTATTATATTCAACGATGATTCCATTCGACTCCATTAGATGATGACTCCATTCCATTCCATTCGATTGTGATTTCATTCGATTCCATTCCAAGATGATTCCATTCGAGTCCATTTGATGATTCCATTCCATTCCATTCAATGATGATTCCACTCAAATCCATTGGATGATTCCATTCGTGTCCATTCGGTGATTTCATTAGATTCCATTCGAGGATGCTTCCATTCCATTCCATTCGATGATTCCATTCAATTCCATTCGATGATGATTCCATTCGAGTCCATTCAATGCTTCCATTGGATTCCGTTTGATAATGATTCCATTAGAGATCCTTCGATGATGCCCTTCGAGTCCATTCGATGATACCATTAAATTCAATTCGTTGATGCTTCCATTCAACTGCATTCGATGATATCATTCGATTCCATTTGATGATAATTCCATTTGATTCCATTCAATGATTCTATTCGATTCCATTCAATGATAATTCCATTCAATTCAGTGATTCCTCTGGACTCCATTTGATAATGATTCCATTCAATGATTCCATTCGATTCTATTCGGAAATGATTCCATTTGAATCCATTTGATGATGATTCCATTAGATTCCATTTGATGATTCCATTCGATTCCATTCGACGATGATTCCATTCGATTCCATTTGATGATTCCATTCTATTCCATTCAATGATTGCATTCAATTCCATTCAATGATTATCCCACTAGAGTAAATTCAACGATTCCATTCAATACCATTCGATGATGATTCCTTTTGAGTCCATTCAATGATTTCATTCAAGTCCATTTGATGATTCCTTTCAATTCCATTCTATGATGATTCCATTCGAGTCCATTCGATGATTCCATTCGATTGCATTCGATGATTCCATTATATTCCATTCAACGATGATTCCATTCGAGTCCATTCGATGATTCCATTAGAGTACATTTAATGATTGCTTTGTTTTCAATTCGAAGATGATTACATTGGTTTCCATTCTATGATTCCATTCGATTGCATTCATTGATGATTTTACCCACTCCATTCGATGATGATTCCATTCGATTTCATTCAATGATTCTACTCGATTCCATTCAATGATGATTCAATTCTATTCCGTTCGATGATTCCATTAGATTCCATTCTATGATGATTCCATTCGAGTCCATTCGAAGATTCCATTCGATTACATTCCATGACGATTCCATTCGAGTCCATTCGATGATTCCATTTGAATCCATTCGACGATGATTCCATTTGATGCTATTCGATGATTCCATTGGATTCCATTCGATGATGATTCCTTTCGAGTCCATTCGATGATACCATTCAATTCCATTCGATGATCATTCCATTCGAATCCATTTGATGATTCCACTCAATTCCATTTGATGACTCCTTTCATTCCCATTCGATGATTCCCTTCAATTCCATTCGATGATCTTTCCATTTGATTCAATATGGTGACTCCATTCTATTATATTCAATGATGATTCCATTCGACTCCATTAGATGATGACTCCATTCCATTCCATTCGATTGTGATTTCATTTGATTCCATTCGAAGATGTTTCCATTCGAGTCCATTTGATGATTCCATTCGATTCCATTCAATGATGATCCAACTCAAATCCACTGGATGATTCCATTCGTGTCCATTCGGTGATTTCATTAGATTCCATTCGAGGATGATTCCATTCCATTCCATTCGATGATTCCATTCAATTCCATTCGATGATGATTCCATTCGAGTCCATTTGATGATTCCATTTGATTCCATTTGATAATGATTCTACTAGAGTCCATTCAATGACTCCATTGGAGTCCATTCAACAATTCCATTCGACTCCATTCGATGATTCCATTCGATTCCATTTGATGATTCCGTTCGAGTCCATTTAATCATTACAGTCGACTCCATTTGGTGATTCCACTGGATTTCTTTTGATAATGATACCATTCCATTACATTTGAGGATGATCCCATTCAATTTCATTTGATGATGATTCTATTAGAGTCCATTCCATGATTTCATTCGAGTCCCTTCATTGATTCCATCCGATTTCATTTCATGATGACTCCATTCGAGTCCATTCGATGATTCCACTCGATTCCATTAGATGATTCCATTGGAGTCCATTTGATTGTTCCATTCGATTCCATTCGATTCCTTTCGAAGATTATTCCATTTGAGTCCATTCGATGATGATTCCATTCCATTCCATTCGATGATTCCGTTTGATTCCATTCGATGATTCCCTGCGATTCCTTTCTATGATGATTCCATTCCATTCCATTCAATGATTCCATTCGAATCTATTCCATGATGATTCCTTTCGATTCCATTCGCTGATGTTTACGTTCAATTCCATTCGATGATGATTCCATTCGATTCCATTCATTGAGGTTTCCATTTGATTCCATTCAATGATGATTCCATTCTATTCCATTCAATGATTGCATTCAATTCCATTCAATGATTATGCCATTAGAGTAAATTCAACGATTCTATTCAATACCATTCGATGATGATTCCTTTTGAGTCCATTCAATGATTTCAATCAAGTCCATTTGATGATTCCTTTCAATTCCATTCCATGATGATTCCATTCGAGTCCATTCGATGATTCCATTCGATTACATTCGATGATTCCATTATATTCCATTCAACGATGATTCCATTCGAGTCCATTCGATGATTCCATTAGAGTACATTTAATGATAGCTTTGTTTTCAATTCGAAGATGATTACATTGGATTCCATTCTATGATTACATTCGATTCCATTCATTGATGATTCCACCCAATTCCATTCGATGATGATTCCATTCGATTTCATTCAATGATTCTACTCGATTCCATTCAATGATGATTCAATTCTATTCCGTTTGATGATTCCATTAGATTCCATTCTATGATGATTCCATTCGAGTCCATTCGAAGGTTCCATTCGATTACATTCCATGACGATTCCATTCGAGTCCATTCGATGATTCCATTTGAATCCATTCGACGATGATTCCATTTGATGCTATTCGATGATTCCATTGGATTCCATTCGATGATGATTCCATTCGACTTGATTTGATGATTCTATTTGAGTCCATTCGGTTATTTTATTAGACTACATTCGATGATGATTCCATTCGATGCCATTCAATGATTCCATTTGATTCCACTCAATGATGATTGCATTCGTGTCCATTCGATGATTCCATTTGGTTCCATTTGATGATGATTCCATTCGAGTCCATTCGATGATACCATTCAATTCCATTCGATGATCATTCCATTCGAATCCATTTGATGATTCCACTCAATTCCATTTGATGACTCCTTTCATTCCCATTCGATGATTCCCTTCAGTTCCAATTGGATGATCTTTCCATTTGATTCA
>NC_000016.10:33264595-33392411 GCF_000001405.40 Homo sapiens | reverse complement strand
TCATCATTTCATTTCATTTCATCCTTTCATTTCATCTCATCATTTCATCCTTTCATTTCATCATTTCATCTCATCATTTCATCTCATCATTTCACTTCATCTCATCATTTCATCATTTTATCTCATGATTTCATTTCATCTCATGATTTCATTTCATCTCATCATTTCATCTTTTCATCTCATCATTTCATTTAATCATTTTATTTCATTTTATCTTTTCATCTCATCATTTCATCATTTCATTTCATCGATTCATCATTTCATCATTTCATTTCATTATTTCATCATTTCATCATTTCACTTCATCTCATCATTTCATCATTTTATATCATTTCATTTCATCATTTCATCTTTTCATCATTTCATTTCATTTCATGATTTCACTTCATTTCTTCATTTCATTTCCTCATTTCATTGCACCATTTCATCACTTCATCATTTCATCATTTCATTTCATCATTCCATTTCATCATTTCATCATTTCATTTCATCTCATCATTTCATCATTTCATTTCCTCATTTCACCATTACATTTCATCTCATCATTTTATTTTATCATTTCATTTCATCATTTCATTTATTCATTTCTTCATTTCGTTTCATCATTTCATCATTTCCTTTCATTTCATCATTTCATCTCATCATTTCATCTCATCATTTCATCTCATCATTTCATCTCATCATTTCATCTCATTTCATTTCATTCATTTCATCATTTCATCTCATGATTTCATTTCATCTCATCATTTCACTTCATCTCATCATTACACCATTTCATCTCATGATTTCATCTAGTCATTTCATTTCATCTCATCATTTCATTTCATCTTTTCATCTCTTCATTTCATTTCACCGTTTCATCTTTTCATCTCGTCATTTCACTTCATTTCATCATTTCATCAATTCATCATTTCATCATTTCATTTCATTATTTCATCATTTCATCATTTCACTTCATTTCATCATTTCATATAATTTCATCATTTCATTTTATCATTTCTTTTAATTTCATTTCATCATTTCACTTTATTTCATCATTTCATATCATTTCATTTCATCATTTCATCTTTTCATGTCATTTCATCATTTCATCATTTCATTTCATTCATTTCATCATTGCATTTCATCATTTCATCATTTCATCTCATGATTTCATTTCATCTCATCATTTCACTTCATCTCATCATTTCATCTCATGATTTCATCTCATCATTTCATTACATCCCATCATTTCATGTTTTCATCTCGTCATTTCATCATTTCATTTCATTTTGTCTTTTCATCTCGTCATTTCATTTCATCATCATTTCAGTTCATTTATTTCATCATTTCATTTCATCATTTAATTTCATCATTTCACTTCATTTCATCATTTCATTTCATTTCATATCATTTCATCATTTCCTCTTTTAATTTCATTTCATAATTTCATCATTCCACTTCATCATTTCGTTTCATCATTTCATTTCCTCATTTCATCATTTCATTTCATCCTTTCATTTCATCTCATCATTTCATCCTTTCATTTCATTCTTTCATTTCATTATTTCATCTCATCATTTCATCTCATCATTTCATCATTTCACTTCATCTCATCATTTCATCATTTTATCTCATGATTTCATCTCATCATTTCATTTCATATCATTTCATTTCATCTTTTCATCTCGTCATTTCACTTAATCATTTTATTTCATTTTATCTTTTCATCTCATCATTTCATTTCATCATTTCATCATTTCATTTCACTTCATTTCATTTCATCATTTCGTATCATTTCTTCATTTCATCTTTTCATTTCATTTCATCATTTCATCATTTCATTTCATTTCATCATTTCACTTCATCATTTCATTTCTTCATTTCATTTCCTCATTTCATTGCACCATTTCATCACTTCATCATTTCATCATTTCATCATTCCATTTCATCATTTCATCATTTCATTTCATTTCATCTCATCATTTCATTTCATTTCCTCATTTCACCATTACATTTCATCTCATTTCATCATTTTATCATTTCCTTTCATCATTTCATTTCTTCATTTCATTTTGTTTCATCATTTCATCATTTCCTTTCATTTCATCATTTCATCTCATCATTTCATCTCATCATTTCATCTCATTTCATTTCATTCATTTCATCATTTCATCATTTCATCTCATGATTTCATTTCATCTCATCATTTCACTTCATCTCATCATTACACCATTTCATCTCATGATTTCATCTAGTCATTTCATTTCATCTCATCATTTCATCTTTTCATCTCGTCATTTCATTTCATCATTTCATTTCATCTTTTCATCTCGTCATTTCATTTCATTTCATTTTATCAATTCATCAATTTATCATTTCATTTCATTTCATTATTTCATCATTTCATCATTTCATCATTTCACTTCATCATTTCATTATTTCATATAATTTCATCATTTCATTTTATCATTTCTTTTAATTTCATTTCATCATTTCATCATTTCACTTTATTTCATCATTTCATATCATTTCATCATTTCATTTCATCATTTCATCTTTTCATTTAGTTTCATTATTTCATCATTTCACTTCATCATTTCATTTCATTTCCTCATTTCATCATTTCATTTCATTTCCTTTCATCATTTCATCTCATCATTTCATCCTTTCATTATTTCATTTCATCATTTCATGTCATCATTTCACTTCATCATTTCATCATTTCATTTCATCATTTCACTTCATCTCCTCACTTCATCATTTCATCTCATCATTTCATCTCATCATTTCGTTTCATCTTTCCATCTCATCATTTCATTTAATCATTTCATTTCATCTTTTCATCTCATCATTTCATTTCATTTCATCATTTCATTTCATCAATTCATCATTTCATTTCATTTTATTATTTCATCATTTCATCATTTCACTTCATTTCCTCATTTCATTTCATCATTTCATATTTCTTCATCATTTCATCTTTTCATTTCATTTCATCATTTTATCATTTCATTTCATTTCATCATTTCACTTCGTCATTTCATTTCATTTCCTCATCTCATTTCACCATTTCATCATTTCATCATTCCATTTCATCATTTCATCATTTCATTTCATCATTTCATCATTTCATCATTTCATTTCATCATTTCATCATTTAATTTCATCATTTCACCATTTCACTTCATCTCATCATTTCATCATTTTATCATTTCATTTCATCAGTTCATTCCTTCATTTCATCATTTCCTTTCATTTCATTATTTCATTTCACCATTTCATCATTTCATTTCATTTCAGTGATACATATATTTAAGTGCTAATGTGATGCCCAGGAGACATCCTACTTCCCTTTGTAAAATACCTCCTTCAACAAAAGGCAACCTCTCATGGCTGGCTAAGTCTACAGGGATACCAGGCTCTCCTCAACCACCCAATTTGATTTAGAACCTCAAACAGCACCTCAGTTTCATGAAAACCTAACACATAAACACAACACTTGGTTGTAAGTGAGCCAACAGCTTCTTGTCTCTTTCTCTGCTCAAGGCTTAAGGCCGTGTCTCCCCAACTACGTTCAGTGGAAGAAAAGATCCCCTGGACAAATAAGTTTGAGGACTGTCATTGCAGGACTTCTCAGAACCTTTAAAACACAAATCCTCATCCGCAGGGATCTTCAGGAGGGAGACGGCTGATGCAGCACAACTTTCTTTCACAGGAGCATCTTGCAGAATACAGTATGAGATACAGAAAGGCTGCACTGAGTCTTTTTAAGGGTCTGGGCCTTGGTGGGGGTGGGGTAGGAGCTCTCCAGATAGCATCTAATGAGTAGGAACATTCAGGTTGCTTTTTTTTTCCCTTATTGGCAAAACTGTGTGTGCACCATGAATGAAGCTGGTCTCCCTTATCCACATCAAAACTAAACCCAAATTAATTGGCTAAATTGGGACTCAACACCACCAGGAGCCACGTGGAAGACAGCCCTACCACACTTTAAAGTAGCTTACCTCATCATGTTTGAGGAAAGCAAAACGCTTATGACCAGTATGCTGCTAATACAAGTCTACAGATAATGCTGTAGGAAAAATTATTTTTCCCAATCATAGCTGGCATAGTCCACATTTTGCATTACAATTTCCCCTTTTTTAAAATTTAAACACAGGTCTTTTTCTCTTCTTTTTAAACATTTTAATTTAATTTTACAAGACGGAGTCTCAGTATGTTGCCCAGGCTGGTCTTCAACTCCTGAGCTCAAGTGATACATCCCTCTCTGCCTCCCAAAGTGCTGGGATTACAGGCCTGAGACACTGTGCCCGGCCTTCAACATAAAGTTTAATTCATTCTTACAATTATCCTGAAGTTAGAAAAATGGAAGGGGAAGAAAAATGGCAAGCAGGTAGGCTGACTTCGACTTCATTATTTGGAAGGACAGTTTGCTCGGTTAAAACACTCTACTGCCCAAAAGGCCAAGACAACAGAAAAATACAGACTTACATAAATAGATTTTATATGTGACAGCAGTTTGAATGGAGACTTTTTCAATGCAAATGACAAACAGCTGTGCTTGGGAATAAATGACAAAGAATTTTTTATCTCAACAGCTGTCCTGAGAGCACGTCTCTACATCTATACCTGCATTCTGGAATCAGGGAGAAAGCCAAAACGGATGACAAGACACTAGGTCAGCCGCGTCCAACCCTTTGACTACAAGGACTTTTCCACCTATCTGTGGTGGTGGGTATCATGAAAATTATGCACAAACCTTTTTTTTTTTTAAGCTCATCAGCTATCGTTAGCATTAGTGTATTTTATATGTGGCCCAGGAGCATTCTTCTTCCAATGTGACCCTGAGAAGCCAAAAGACACCTGTGCACTAGATCAAAAGGCTACTCCTTCTGGAAGCAATTGTAAAGAATTTCTGACATTATCTTCACATGACAACCAATGGGTAGTGGGACAGAATGCAAAAATCTTCAAGTATTTTTCTTGTTGGTTTTTTTTTTTTTTTTTTTGAGTCAGGGTCTTGCTCTGTGGCCCAGGCTGGAGTACACTGCTGAGATCACAGCTCAGTGCAGGCTCAAGTGCTCCTCCCACCTCAGCCACAGTAGTAGCTGGGACTACAGATGTGCACAACCACCACTGGCTAATATTTTATTTTTTGTAGAGACAGGGTCTCACTATATTGTCCAGGTTAGTCTCAAACTCCTTGACTCAAGGGATCCAGGACAGGATAACAGGTGTGAGCCACCACATCTGGCCATGTGCATGAACTTTTAAGACAAACACAAGGCCCCACAAAAGTTAAAGTTTTCCCACCTAATTTCCAGGGGATCTTTTGGTGCAAGGATGAGAAGCCCTTAAAAGTACCCAGACAACTCCAAAGATTCAAGACAGTTCATTGGGGCTGAGCCAGCCCACTGGGCAGACTGACCTTCAAAAAAGGCCCACCCATGATATACACCAGATGGCTCTCCAAGAATCTCTCCAGTCCTCAGGGTCCCTAAGGTACTGGACAGAGCTAGGAAAGCAAACCCATGTGCTTCTTCCTTCAGGCAACCCCTTGAGGTCAAGACCCCACAATCAGATGAGGATGGAGTGGCTCACCCTCAGTCAACAGGCCAGACTCAAGGTGGTATTATGTCTTAACCAAGGGTGTGGGCCTCCAGGTCTCACTCCCAACTCAGTGCTCCTTTAATAACCACACTTTGTTAATTCTCCTTAACAGGGGTTCCAGGCAAGTCAGTTCTCCCTCAGGCCTTCGGTTTCCTCACCCACAAGATGAGAGGGCTGGACCAGATGGAAATTCAGGGGGTAAGGGGATGTCCGCTCGCAGCCCACCTCGCCCATGGGCCCCTCAAGCCTCCCTGCCAGTTCCCACGACGCACCCGCCCCACAGATCCTGCCCAAGGTGAGGGCTGGTCCCGGGTCCTCCGGCTGCCGCATCAGCGAGTGCAGGAGGGAGGGGAAGCCTCCAACGGGGCGACTCGGGCTCAAGGATGCAACTCGGCCAGGAGTGAACTCGGGCACGGAGGGAGGTGTCTGGGCCGCTCCTCGAGCCCAGCCTGGGTCCACGACCCCCTTACCTCCAGGGTCCGTATCTCCTGCTGGGTGAGGTCCTTGGACACAGCGCACTTGTTGCGCAACCGGCTCAGGCTGCCAATGGAGATGCGGATAAGCTTCTGGAGCTGCCCACAAGCTTCTGGAGCTGCCCACACTGCTGCAGCGTCTGGCTGGCTGCGGCCCCTGCGCCTCCCAAAGAGGCCGCCGCATCACCCCCGCCACCGCCCTCCTTCTTCTCTCCCCTGGCCGCTACGCGCAGCGCCGCTCTATGCAGGCCGCAGCGGCCAAGGCGGGGAGCTCGGGGCGCGGGCGCCTAGGCAAGGAACCCCCGAGCCGGGAGAGCTGGACCAGGAGCGCCCCTCGGCTCCGCCCGAACAAGGACGCCGGTAGAGCCGGCAGCCGAGTGTGCCGCTCCCGCCCTCAGAGCCGCGTCGGTGGTGGCAAAAAGCGGCGGCGGTGGGGGCAAAAAGCTGGGGCGGCGGGGACAAAAAGCCTCGGTGGCGGGGGTAAAAAGCCACGGCGGCAAAAACCGGCGGCGGCGGGGGCAAAATGCCGCAGGGGCAAAAAGCCGCAAAAAGCCGCGGCGGCGGGGGCAAGAAGCCGCGGTGGCGGGAGCAAAAAACTGCGGCGGCAAAAAGGGGCGGCGGCGGGGGCAAAAAGCCGCAAAAAGCCTCGGCGTAGGGGGCAAAAAGCCGTGGCGTCGGGGGCAAGAATCCGCGGCGGCGGGGGCAAAAAAAATATATATATAATTATATTATAAATATATATATTTCTATATAAAATATTATAAATATATATTATATTTATATATAATTATATATATTTATAATATAAAATATATTTATATATTATATATATTAATTATATATATATTATAAATATATGTAATAAATCTTGATTCTAAGAATGTTTTCATTATTATCACTAAAACTTATGATAAATGTTTTATTCATTCGTTTGTGACTATATTGCATGATAAAAATTTAAAGATTTATTATGTTTGAATCAAACCCCACGATTTGTGTCATTTCCCCCTGTAATGTGGAAGTCTGAGTTTTTAGTTCACAAATTTGGCAGAACAATAAACAGAGCGGCACAGCTCAAAGCACTAACTCCTCCGGAAGCAGCAGGTCAAAGTACATGCCAGACATTAAGCAGCAGAGCAACTTAGCAAGAGAAGACAGATCCTCAGGTTGGTGGGCAATGTCTGAACAGTCTGCTCATGGCACCAATTGTTAGTCACTTGCAAAGATGTGGCTTTAAGAGGGTAAGAAATTACTACTCACATAAATTACATTTGTGAGGTAAGTAGGAAGGCCTTTCAAGGTGATCTGACATGGCTTGAATGTGCAAGAAAAGGAGCCAGGCCTGGATTTTTATTGAGGGTAGGTGGCATGCTAGGGTGAGAATTTATTCCCATGGACAGGGGTTTGAATGGTTTCAATCTGCTGCTGGTACCAGAAAAGGGACCACCCAGGTTTCCTCTTACTGTATTATTTTATACACACACACACACACACACACACACACACACACACACACACGGTTTAGGATTAAAAATAGAGACAACCATCAAAAAATGAAGATAGTTCCTTTTGGTCAGCCTGGCAAGTAAGGACGTAGAAGGTGACATTCGCATCAGCGAAAGTAAAAAGGGAAACATAGGCCAGCAATTCTCCTAACATCTATCAGAAAAATAAGTTCACAGGGCAAATCACCATCCCAAATTGGACAGAAGGACACACACATCCAGAGAATTATAACTTACTTGGTTAGTAAACCACAAGAAACCCCTATGGGAACAAATACAGTTGTAAGAAAACAAACCATTATTGATGAATGGCTAAAAGTTTGAGAATTAACATTTTCAGGGTATACAAATTTATGAACTTTACTTTCAGAAACATGACATGGCTTTTACAGGGAAGATGATAGAAAAAATGCTTCTTGATTCCAGTAGGAGGAAGGGAAATGTAGCCATTTTTAACTATTCCCAGAAAATTTTCTTTTTAACATTCCTATCTTCAATATAAACTATGTATCAAAAGCCTAACCAACTGAGATTTTACCAGAGCCAGACTTCCTGGAGTAAGAGAAATGCCCAATTCCATCCCCCTCTAACCTTCTTGATCCAGTTAAGAGAGGTAAAGAGTGAGAAGTCCTCATGAAATTCACAGCCTAGGGATACACTGTTTTGTTTTGATTTGTTTTAATGAGGCTAATGCATAAGTCAATAGAGTGCTTTGCCTAAGCTCTCACATAACCACTACATCAACAGCAGAATAAATACATGGTAGCAGAATACAACTGAAAGAACTGTATGCCTCAGATCTTGTTAAATAAGTCTCTAAGAGACCACAAGGAAATTGAATAATGTTGATAAAGTCGACACATGTATATGTAGAAATACACAATGTACTGACACTGAGTCATGAACAAATAGAAAATCTGAACAGACCTATAGTTGCAGATTGATGCAAAAATCACCCCTCCAGAAAAAAAAGTACAAAACTGTTATGCTGCTGAATCTATCAAACATTTTAAGAATTAATTACCAATTATCCTCAAACTCTTGCAAAAACCTGAAGATGCAGAAACACTTCCAAATTTATTCTATGAGGTAGGCCAAAATTACAGTGACATAAAAAATGAACAAAAGCACTACAAGAAAGAAAGTTGAAGAAAAATGTTCTTTATAAATAATATAAAATCTATAAAATAAATATTAGCAAAATATATTTAGCAGAATAATAAGAGGGTTATCTACCAAGACTAATTGAGAGTTATTACTGAAGTGCAAAGATGCTTTAACATATAAATATCAATAAATGTAGCCAGGCACAGTGGCTTGTGCCTGTAATCCCAGTTACCCAGGATGCTAAGGTGATAGGTTCACTTCAGTCCAGGAGTTCAAGAGCAGTCTAAACAACATCATAATATCCTGTCTCTAAAAATAAATAAATAATAAATAAATAAACAAATAATCATAATATACCGCATTAGTACTGTTAAACACCACAATATCTCAATTTACACAGAAAAAGCATTCTACAAGATATTACTCATTCATGGTACAAACACACAACATAATCAACAGTGAAATACAAAAAATGTTTTCCCTTAATATCAGGAACTAAAAATAGTTCCTCTTTTTTACCACTTCCACTCAACAGAGTATATAAAACTTTAGCTTAAGCAATAACAAAAATAAAATAAAGACAAAAATGCATATGTTAAAAAGAATAAAATAGAAATATCTCTGTTCACAGTAATCATGTATGCACACAATTCTGAAGATTGTACAAACAGAAAAACACCTCAAAACAGTTTAAACAAATTAAGTAATGTTGCAGGATACAAAATTAACTTACAAAACTCAGTTGCATTGATGCACACCAATAATGATTAATCTGAAAAGGAAATTAAGAAAACAATACCATGAACAACAGTATTAAAAAGAATAAAATGCTCTGGAATCAATTTAACCAGGATGACAAACTATTTGTACAATAAAAACTTTCAAAATGCTGCTGTAAGAAATCAAAGGTACAAATAAATGGAACAGTATCTTCTGTTCATAGGTGAAAAGACTTTTTAAAAAATTTCAACTTTTATTTTAGATTCAGGGGTTACAGGCACAGATTTGTTATGTAGGAATATTGTATAATGCTCAGGTTTGGAGCACATAGGTAGTGAGCACAGCAACCAATATGTAGTATATTAACTTGCCCTCCCCTCTGCACACTTTAGTAGTCCACCGTGTTTACTGTTCCCATATTTATGTCCATATATGCTCAATGTTTAGCTCTTATAAGTAAGAACATGCAGTATTTGGCTTTCTGTTTCTGCATTAATTTGCTTGAAATTATGGCCTCTGGTTCCACCTATGTTCATACCAAGGACATGATTTCATTATATTTCACAGCTGTGTAGTATTCCATGGTGTATACATACCAGGTTTTCTTTATCCAATATACCATTGATGGGCATCTGGATTGATCCCACATCTTTGCTATTGTGAATAGCACAGTGATGCATTCAAGTGCATATGTCTTTTTGGTAGAATGATTTATTTTCTTTTGGGTATATACCCAGTTGTAGGATTGCTGGGTAAATTGGTAGTTCTGTTTTAAGTTCTTTCAGAAATCTCGAGACTGCTCTCCACGATTGCTGAACTAATTTACAATCCTGCCAGTGACGTAAAGTGTTTCCTTTTCTGCACAGCCTTGCCAACATGTTATTTATTGACTTTTTAGTAATAGCCATTCTGACTAACATGAGATGGTACCTCATTGTGGTTCTGATTTGCATTTATCTGATAATTACTGATGCTGAGCAATTTTTCATGTTTGTTGGCCACTTGTATATCTTCTGTTCAGGCATATCTGTTCATCTCATTTGCCCATTTTTTATTTTTTAATGGTTTTTTTTTTTTGGCTTGTTGATTTGAGTTCCCTATGGAGTCTGGATATTAGGCTTTTGTTAGACTCATAGTTTGTGAATATCTCCTCCCATTCTGGAGGATGCCTCTTTCCCCTGTTGATAGTTTATTTTGCTGTGCAGAAGCTATTTAGTCAAATTAAGTCCTACTTGTCTATTTTTGTTTTGGTTGCAATTGCTTTTGGGGACTTAGCCAAAAACGACTTGCCAAGGCTGATGTCAAAAAAATATTTCCTAGGTTATCTTCCAGAATTTTTATAGTTTGAGGTCTTACACTTAAATTTTTAATCCATTTAAATTTAATTTTGGGGCATGTTGCAAGGTAAAGGTCTAGGTTCAATCTTCTGCCTATGGCAAGCCAGTTATCCCAGAATGTATTGACTAGGGAGTCCTTTCCCCATTGCTTGTTCTTGCCAGCCTTGTCAAATATCATATGGTTGTAGGTGTGTGACTTTCAGCAGTGTTTTGTAGTTCTCCTTGAAGAGATCTTTCATTTCCTTGGTTATCTGTATTCCTAGGTATTTCTCTTTTTTGTGGCTATTTTAAGTGGAATTGTGTTCTTGATTTCACTCTTGGCCTGGACATTGTTGGTGTATGGAAATGCTACTTATTTCACCATAATCAGTACTGTTTACACTGATTTTGTATCCTGAGACTATACTAAAGTTATTAATTCTAGGAGCCTTCTGGCAGAATCTCTAGGATTTTCTAGGCATAGGATCATATTTTCAGCGAAGAGAGATAGTTTGACTTCTTTTCCTGTTTCGTTACTTTTTCTTTCTCTTGCCTGATTGCTCTGCATAGGACTTCCAGTACTAAGCTGAATAGGAGTGCTGTGAGTGAGCATCCTTGTCTTGTTTCAGTTCTCATAGAAATAGTTTTAAGTTTTTAACCTATTGAGTATGATGTTGACTGTGGGTTTCCCATAGATGACTCTTATTATTTTAAGGTATGTTCCTTGGATGCCTAGTCTATTGAGGATTTTTACCATGAAGTAGTGTTGGATTTTATTAAGAAGACCTTTGTGTATCTGTTTAGAAAATCATATGGTTTTTACTTTTGATTCTATTTAGCTGGTGAATCACATTTATTGGTTTGCATATGTTGAACCAGCTTGCATCCCAGGAATAAAGCCTACTTGACCATGGTGTATTACCTTTCTGATGTGGTGCTGAATTTGGTTTGCTAGTATTTTGTTGAGGATTTTTACATTTTCTGTTCATGAGGGATCTTGGTCTGAAGTTTTGTTTTTTCACAGTGTCTCTGCCAGATTTTCATATCATGCTACTGCTGGTTTCAAAGAATGAGTTAGGAAGGAGCCCCACCGCCTCGATATTTTGAAATAATTTTAGTAGGATTGATATCATTTCTTCTTAGTATGTCTGGTAAAACTCAGCAGCCAATCTACCTGTTTCAGGCCTTTTTGTTGTTGTTGTTGTTGTTGGTAGGTTCTTTAGTACTGACTCAATGTCAGAAGTTGATATTAGTCTACTTAGAGTTTTGATCTCTTTCTGATTCCATCTTGGGAGACTGTGTGCTTCCTGGAATTTATTCATTTTCTCCAGATTTTCTAATTTGCGTGCAGAGCTGTTCATAGTACTCGCTGAGGATCTTTTGTATCTCTATCTGATCCATTTTAATATAACCTGTCATTTTTATTGCGCTTATTTGGATCTTCTCTTTCTTTTTTATATTTGTTAATTTGGCTAGGAGCTTATCAATTTTTTTTGAAGAACCAATTTTTTGTTTTCTTGGACTGTTGTATACATTTTTGCATCTCAACTTCATTAAATTCTTCTCTAATTGCTGTTATGTCTTCTCTCATGCTAGCTTTGGGGTTGGTTGGTTCTTTTTTTCAAGTTCCTTTAGGTGCAAAGTTACATCGTTAATTTGAGACATTTCTAACTTCTTGATAAAGGCATTTAGGGCTATAAAGTTTCCTCTTAACACTGCTTTGGCTGCATCTTAGAAATTTTGGTAAGTTGTGTTCCTATTTCTATCAATTTCAAGTAATTTTTATATTTCTGCCTTACTTTGATGTTTACAAAGGATTTATTCAGGAGTAAGTTGTTTAATTTTCATGTATTTCTGTAGTTTTGAGAGATCTTGGTATGCATTTGTATTTTTTATTGTACTGTGCTCCAACAGTGTGCTTGGTGAGATTTCATTTTTCCTTAATCTATTCAGGCTTTATTTATCACTGAGCACGTGGTTGAACTTAGAATTTTTTTTTGTGCAGATGAGAAAAATGTACATTCTGTGGTTGTTCGATGGAGTTTTCAATAGATGTCTATTAGGTCCAATTGGTCAAGTGTGGAGTTTAACTCCAGAGTTTTCCTGTTAGTTTTTTTTTTTTTTGGCCTCAGTGATATGTCTAATGCTGTAAGTAGGGTGTTGAAGTCTCTTACTACTATTGTGATGTTGTCTAAGCCTTTTTGTGGGGAAAGAAAAAGTCATTTTGTAAATCTGGGTGCTCCAATATTAAGTGTATATATATTTAAGATATTTAAGGCTTCTCACAGGATTTTATCCTTTATCAATATGCCCTTGTTATTCTTCTTTTCATTGGTAGGCAAAGAAGAAGTCATTTTATGAATTTGGATGCTCCAGTGGTAATCACATATATATTTAAGATAGTTAAGGCTTCTTGTTAGATTGCACCCTTTATCAAAATGCTCTTCTTGTCCCTCTTAGTGTTTTTTTTTTTTTTTTTGGTTTAAATTTGTTTTATCTAATATAAGAATAGTGACTGCTGCTTGTTTTTGTTTCGTTTGCATGGTAGAATACACTCCACCCTTTTACTCTGAGGCAAAGGGTGTGTCTTGAAAGCAACAGATGGATGGGTACTGTCTTTTTATCCAGGATGCCACTTTGTGTCTTTTAACTGTGGTGTTTAGCTTACTTACATGTTAGGTGAGTATTGATATGTGTGATTTTGAATTCACCATCATGTTGTTAGCTGGTTGTTATGTAGAGTTGATTGCATTATTGCTTTATAGTGCCTGTGGGCTATGTGCTTAAGTGAGCTTTTTTGGTAGCAGATATCATTCACTTGAATCCATGTTTAGCACTACCTTAAAGACCTCTTGTAAGGCTGGTCTAGTTTAAATGTATCACGTCAGCATTTGCTTGTCAAAGGAATTTTTTTTTTCCTCTTTCACCTATGAAGCTTAGTTTAGAGGGATATAAAATTATTGGTTAATTTTTTTTCCTTTAAAAACTCTGCAGATAGGCCCCTAACCTCTTCTGGTTGCAAGGAGTCTGCTGAGAGGTCTGCTGCTAGTCTGATGGAATTCACTCTGTGAGTAACCTGCCCTTTCTCTCTAACTGATCTTAAATTTTTTTTTGCACTGACTTTGGTGAATCTGATGACTATGTGACATGGAAATAGCAATATGGTTTGGATCTGTGATTCTGCCCCAATCACATGTGGAACTGTAATCTTCAATGTTGGAGGTGGGGCCTGCTGAGAGGTGATTGGATAATGGGGATAGATCCTTGTGAATGGTTTAACACCAGCCCCTTGTGCTGTCTTGCGATAACGTTCTCATGAGATCTGGCTGTTTAAGAATGGGTAGCACCTCCCCGCTCTCTGTGTTGCTCCTGTTCTTCCATGTAAGATGCCTTGCTCCCCCTCTTCCTTCTTCCATGGTTGTTAGTTTCCTGAGGGCTCCCCATAAGCCAAGCTGATGCTGCCATGCTTCCGCTGCAGCCTGCAGAATTGTGAGCCAACCAAACTTCTTTTCATTATAAATTACCCAGTATCAAGTATTTCTTTATAGCAATGTGAGAACTGACTAATACAGACTGTCATATATTATTGTATCTGACTAGGGGCTGACTGGGGTTCTCTTGGATTTGAATGGCAACCTCGCTAGTGAGATTAGAGGTACTTTCATGAACTATATCTTCATACATATTTTCCAACTTGCCTATTCTCTTTCCTTCTCTCTCAGAAATGTTGATAAATTGTAGATTTGTTCTCTAAGTAATCTCATATTTCTCAATGGGGATGTTGATTTTTCTTAATTCTTTTATCTTTATTTTTGTCTGACTATGTTGATTCAATAAAACAGTGTTTGAGCTCTGAGATTCTTTTCTCAGTTTAGTCTATTCTGCTGGAAATACTTCTGATTTTATTATAAAATCCTCACAGTAAATCTTTCAGCTCAAGAATTTTTTTAGTTTAGATATTTCTTAAGATTGCTATTTTATCTTTCAGGTTTTGAATCATTTAACCGGATTGCTTGGCTTCCTTGGGTTAAGTTTCAACTTTCTTCTCAATCTAAATGAGTTTCCCTGCTCTTTTTTCCATGTCTGTCATTTTAGACAATTCAGACTGTTAAAAACCATCACTGGGGCACTAGTGGGCTCTCTTGAAGGAGACACTCTGGCTTTTTGCATTGCCAGAGATTTTGAGCCAATTCTTTCTCATCTGAGAGAACTGGTATACCTCTAATTGGGGTATAAATTGAGTATAGTCTATTGGCTTTCTTTTTTTGAAGGTTTTCAGAGGACTAGGACTCTGTACAGTGTCTTTGTTGTTGAATTCTTGCTCTTGGTTTCACAGGGGAAGAATTAGTAAAGTGATTTTTGGTGGTGTAATCTCTACTGCGATCCAGTAGATAGCACTTGAGAGCAGTGGGATGTAGATAGGTTCTTTACCATGCAGTTCCTTTGTGTATCTTCTTTATTTGCAACTATGTTCTGTGGTACAGGTCTGTTCATGAGTCTTGAGAGACTCACTTCCAATCACTGGCACTATGCCCATTATTATTACTATCATTATCTCCTTTTTTTTTTTTTTTTTTTTTTTTTTTTTTGAGACAGAGTCTTGCTCTGTCGCCCAGAGACTGGAGTGCAGTGGCAGGATCTCAGCTCACTGCAAGCTCTGCCTCCTGGGTTCATGCCATTCTCCTGTCTCAGCCTCCCGGCTAGCTGGGACTACAGGCGCCCGCCACCACGCCTGACTATTTTTTTGTATTTTTAGTAGAGACAGGGTTTCACCGTGTTATCCAGGATGGTCTCGATCTCCTGACCTCGTGATCCACCCGCCTCCGCTTACCAAAGTGCTGGGATTACAGGCGTCAGCCACCGCGCCCGGCCTATTACTATCATTATCATTATTGTCATTGTTGTTAGGTGTTTCAAGCTGTGGGGCTTCCTCAGGGAGATGTCTTCTAGAAAAATACCCTGCATCTTTACCATAACAGCCCTGTGGAAGGAGGTGTGCCTAGGGCCCACGCCAGCCTGTGAACCTGTGTGAATCTGGCCTCTCAGTTTCTGAAGAGTGTGGGTTCCTCCCCCATTCAACTGCCCAGCACAGATCCCAGCTTGACACTCCTGAACCACAGGCCACAGCACTGGAGTGCCACGACTTGCTTATGACTCCCTCTTCCTGATGCTTAGGGCCAGGTTCCAAGTGTGGTGAGGGATCTGAGGGATTTCTGGGCTGCCAGAATGCATTCAGGTGGAGCCAAGCATCCAGGTTGGGTAGCAGAAACTACAATGTATACATGCTTCTCCCAGGAAGCCAGGCAGGGGCCATGTAAGAGGCTGGTGGACAGGCATGCCTACAGGATAGACATGTCCCAGTCCTGCGGGTAAGCAGGCCTTGCTTTCTCCCTGCAGTTTAGCTGGGGCCAAAGCCTCTGAGAGAGATAGGCAGCTGCAGAGGTGGGACTTTATGGTTGAGCTCCACCAGATCCGACCCATGCTAAAAAGTCCTGGCTCTGTGCCTGCTACAGCTCCATCTCCATCTACTCTCCAGGGAGATCTCCTTGCCAACTCACATGTCCATGGGGGTGTGGAGTTTCCTGCAGCCAGGATCCCAGTGGTCTGCAGCGAGAGTGAGCAGCCTCCCAGTCCCTTTACTCACTTCTTCCCCAGATGCCACTCAGGGCCAAAAAGCAGTCATAGCGTTCAGGCACCCCATAAGGGCACCCCAGCTTCCTTGCTCTTCAGTCTTAGAAAACGCACCTTTTCTCCATCCACACTATCCATTTTCTCTCCAAATATCTATTCAAACTATGTTGATGTAGTCAAAATTGTGGTCTTTCTCTTTGGGAGCAACACTTGCTGGCTGCATCCAGTAAGCCATCTTGGAAACTCTCTTAAAAGTACTAATGTGGCAATTTCTCCTAAAATTATCTATAAATGCAGTGCAATCCCAATCAAAAGCCCAATAACTTTTTTTAAATGGAAACAGAAACTAACATTCTAAAATTCAAGTGAAATCTCAAGGAACCAAGAATAGTCAAAACGATCGCAAAAAAAAGAGATAAAAATGTTCAGAGCTCTAATTTCATAATGAGAAATTTCCTAACGTCAAAAGTTACTCACAGTCATGTTACTCAAAACAGTGTGGTACTGGGATAGAGACTACAAACAAATGAAATAAAATAGTGTCTCTCAGAGGACACTATCAATAGAGTAACAGGACAACTCTGAATAATAGAACATACTCCATAACAATACTCTAATAATACATCTGGCAAGGTATTAATATAGGGAAAATACAAAGTAAAAAGGTTTGAAAATCTTCAACACTCCTCATGATAAAAACATTAAATAAACTGGAAATAGAAAAGATATTGTAAGACATCTATAAAAACCCCACAGCTAACATCATACTTGATGTTAAAAGACAAAATGCTTTCTACCTAAGATCAGAAATAAGACAAAGATGTCTGTTCTCACGACATCTATTCAACATGGTAAAAAAAAAGCTGTTAGCTAGGAAATTAGGCAAGAACATAAAAGTATTAGTGATTTTAAAGCAAATACACACATAGCACCCAGGCATAAATACAAAAGCAGACTTTTCACTGCACATAAAGGTGGATACACGCAGACAAAGACACGCAAGCTTGTTAACTGTCAGAGTTAGCAGCTGAAACACATAAATAAATGCTCAGAGAGACACCCAGTTTAGACCTCTGCTCTCTTTACCACACTCTCCTCCCACATTAGCAGTAACCACTATCTTACACATTGTTTATTTTACTTGTATTATATATTTATTTTTTCCTAGAATATCAGCTTCAAGTGGGCAGAATTATTTGTTTTGTTTTAGTCATTGCAGCACCTCCTAGAACATCTGCTACACAGGGCAAGATTAATACATAATAAATCACTGGGCTCAAATTCACACAACTATACACAGTGCTTTTCCATGAACCTCATCATAGGCCCATATAAACTTGATTTGCACAAAATGAGTTTTTCTTAACTCGATCTTATGTGGCAGGGTGGTGTCTTCTGAACTCCAAACAAATTCCTAAAGGTTAGCTTACTCAAATGAATTGAAAATGTAAGTCCACACAAAAACCTGCACAAAAAAGTTTACAGCAATATTAATTGTAGTTTTCACAAAACTTGGAAGCAACCAAGATCATGTATTCACCAAGGTCAGAGGTACAAAATTATTATACAAAAATCAATTCTACTTCTATACACTTGCAATGAAATATCTAATAATGCAGTTGAGGCAAAAACAAATCCATTTACAATAGCAATTAAATAATAAATCATAGAAATAAATTTTTAAAAATGTGAAAGGAACTTATAATCTGAAAACTACAAACCTTATCGAAAGAGGTTGAAGATCTAAATAAATGAGAAACCATTCCATGTTTATGAATCAGTAGGTTTAATACATTATGATGACAATAACTCCCCAAACAGTCTACATCCAGTACAATTAGATTCAGTACAATTAGAATTCAAGGTGACTACCATGTAAAAACTGAAGCATTGATGCTGAAATTCATATAAAATTAAAAGGGACTAAGAATATCTTTAAAAATCTTTAAAAAGATGCCAAATAAAAGGACTCACAAATTACAACTTCAAAATTTGCCTCAAAGCAACCTTAATCAAGATGGTGTAGTAACGACACAAGGAAAGTCATTTAGATCAATGAAATACAACTGAGAACCCAGAGAGAGTAAAATCAGCAAAATGTCAAGAATGTACAGCTCCAAACACCTGCTCCTCCACAGAAACAGGGAAAACCAAGCAGAACTGTCAGAAACGATGTTGTAAAACCTGTTGAAAACCATCAAGTTGTACAGCAACCATGTAACTACAAAATCAAGAAAAACAATGAAGAACAGGAGAAAAGCCTCGTGGACTTTTTACACGTCCTTGCCCAAATCCTTCCCTTACTTGATGGCAGTCTTAAAAACAACATCCTGAGTTGCCAGTATGGGCCTCTGCTCAGTGGTTCCAGAGGGAAAAGAGGAGGTCTTACTTGCAAAGTATTGTGTTGTTACATTAAAATCTGTATTAGGGCTATCCAGAGGTCTGAAACAAGGCTCTCTTTTTTCTCTAAGTCAGAAAAAAAAATCAGTTTAAAAAATTGGCACGAGTTACTTGGGAGTATTTTAAGGAAACTGAAAGCCAGCAGCCCCCTGGAGAACAGATTACAGACGACACATACAATAGGTCACATAAAGCCAAGAATAAAAAGCTAACGTGAGATTTTGTTTTGTTTTACAAATTAGGCTATTAAAAAGCACCCAGGTATGCTGGCAAATTGACAAAGCACTCTGTGCATAACCACGAAAAACACATTTTCTTAAAGACCCAAGAAGACCCTCATTTTCAGCACTGGCTGACCTTCAGGCTCAGCTCAGCAGAAAGTGAAGACTGAAGCAAAGTTTTCAACAGTCTGCACATGTGTTAAAGGAACGCCCCAGCCCAGAGCCATCCACAAAAACTGGAAGAATCCGTCAGTTTGTCTTTGTCTCAGTTTTGTCATATAGACCTTTGTGACACACAGATCTATATACAATGGAAACTACAAATTTCTAATGAAAGAGCCATGAAAGATCACAAAAGATCTTAATAAATAGAAAGACATTTAATGTGCATGATCATAAAATCTCAATATTGTCAAGATATAATTTCTCCCCAATTTGAGTTATAGGCAAGAGAGTCACATCATCTAGGTGATTGGCCAAACATATGTCACAATCCCTTCCATTGACAGCTCCCAAAAAAGGAGTTACATCACCTAGGTGCTCAGCTCTGAGATGTGTCACAACATTGCCCAATACAGGCAGGCCACAGGCGGGAGAGTCACATTTCCTGGGTGCTTGGCCCAGTGGTATGTCACATTTCCTTATGTAGGAAGGGCACACGTAGCAAGAGAGAGTCACATTACCTAGGTACTGTGCTAGAGCTATCAGTCTCTGTGTCGTTCAATGTGAGAGTTATGATCTCTTTAGACATCCATGTAACAGAGCCTCAACTCCTTCATCCTCAGATGTAAAGGCTAGTGAAGACCAAATAAGCCTTGAAAGGTAATTCCCCTAAAAAGGCAGAATGTCTTAGGCTTTGGCCTCTCCCCTTCAAGCACAATGAGATCATAACCTCTCTTTTGACTTCTCACTATGCCCAGCACTGGAACAAAGCTCCTGACTCCACACCCTCACCTTTCCACCCTTGTGCCTTCACTGGGCAGACAAGAGATGAGAAGACCTGAACTCTGGGACAGTCTGGGGAGAAAAGAATCCAAAAAGGGTTGAGGCGGCAAGGGCTGAGCTCCCACGGGTGCCCCGGCCCAAAGGTGCAGGTCCAGGCTGTTTTCCAGGTGGCATTCAGTGCAGGTTCTTCAATGCCACTGGAAGGCATGAAAAACCCACTGTAGCTGCTGCTGCTTCCTTTTCTTAAGCTGTGAAAATGCAAACACTTTTTCAAGGTTTTCAGATATGCCCAGGTACCCCCAACTGAAAAGGAGGATAATGGCATTGTTCATCATGGCTTATTGTCTTGCCCAGGCAGGAGCCAGCCCCTGACTCGCCAATCCAGCTGCCCCAGGCTGGAGGTGATCCTTTCGAGCCTCCTCCCTGCAACTCCACTCCTCTTTTTTCTCTTCCTCAACCACCGGCATACTTTTGGTCATCCTCCTTGTTGTCACAATGGGGGCGTGATGCCATAAAGACCTGGGAACCCCAATGATCTCAGGTCCCGCAGGGGTCAGGTGAGCATATAGGAAGTCCAGAAGGACAGTCATCTGCCACCTCCAGTTGAAAAAGAACAAAACCCTCGCACTCCAGAAATGAGTCAAGAACCCAGCGAAGGCCACAGGTCTAGCCCACAACCACCTAGGTATGTGGGGTCCTCCAAGGCTCACGCTTGTGTCCTGCAGGCTGGAGCCCATGCGAGGGTCTGCAGTCTTTGTTCCGGATGGGGAACTACTGCTTCAGCTGGTTACCCAGGTGTCCCCGATGGGGAAAGGAAGGAAATGGTGAGAATCTTCAGCACAACGGATCACATCACCCTGGCAGAGACCAGTCCGGCCTGTGCATGGCACCAGCAGCCGCAGGCTAGAGGCAGTCATGTCAGGCCTCCTCCATACAGCATCTCTCCTGCTTTTTTTTCAAACGGCCCTAATCACTTAATTTGGTCATCTTCCCTGTCACAATGGGGCACCTGGCGCTATAGACACTTGGGAAACACACAGATCTGGGGTCCTACAGTGTCCAGGTGAAGACGCCGGGAGTCAGAGAGGAAAGTCTTTTGAAGCCTCCAAAAGGAATGCACAGGACCCCACTTGAAGAGGTGGAGTGCCCAGTGGCGGATACAGGCCCCACACATCGCAGCAGTAAACAGGTAAGGCGCTCCCTGGCCCATGCCTGTTTCCTGGAAACTGAAGCCATGCCCAGGCTGGGAGTCACCATTCCAGAAACAGAATAAGCTGTTGGGCTGGCTACCTCACCCAGCACCCGGCCACGCCAGAGAGAATCTTGGATGCTGCTTTCCCACAGGCTGTAGTGCCTTCCAAGTTAGGCCACCCTAATAACAGTTCTCCCACAGGGACTCCACGGTGTCCAGCTCTCCAGCCTGGGGTTTCTCATCACCCAGTGATTCCAAAAGAAACGATCTACAATGGCATGACTAAGTTCCAGAAACAAATAAACAAAATACTGAGGGAAGCCCGTTGGTCACTTTGATTCTTCAAAGGTGACAATTGTCCCTCCCTGAAATCTTGTGAGTGCATGAACAGGCTATTCTAATGTAAATGAAATTCACACTAAAACTGATTGAAAGATGATTCTGTTTCCAAGGTACTTTGTATTCTCAAATTGCACCTGCTTACCCTGGCCCCCTCAAAATGGAAGAGTGATGACTATTTGTCTTCGTAGCACTGTGGGGACACAGAGCCTTAAATGGAAGAGTGTCAAAAGCAACATTCCATAAAGGGCTGTCACTTCCAATTTTCAAGCAAGGTTGGAAACCAACCATGATGTATGAAACACTGTTGGCCAAAGTGCACAATTAGTAATACAAAATGAATAATATAAACTATTGTAAATATGTGTGGACATCGTGGCAATTTGGACATCAAAAAACACTGCCAAATTCAGAAAGAGGAAGCTGTAAACTCATGGCTGTTAGGAAGCTTAACTTCTGTGTACTAGAACCTATCAAAATTAAATTTCTCCATGTCAATCCGTCCAAACAAACATTGAGATGTTTATTTCTATATAATTCCTATTGAATCCTACTGGGCAGGACCCTTCTGGCCCCATCCTCACAGCACTGGTGCAGTGAAACTGCACTTGCTCCTGCTTCCCCCTATATTGTTAGGAGTGGAAATATTTAGTAACAGGGTGGATTGGGAGGCTACTGAGGCCTCCTGCGTGGGTGGGTCAGGTCTCCTGCAGCCCAAACCTTTTTACAATAAATAAGTTATAGGTAAAATTAGAAAAAAATTAAAAAATGGAACTCATTCTGTTTCTTTGCTCACCACAAAGAGAAACACAGCATCTAGAGATGTCTGTTGGAGCCAGGCTTGTCCTGGGAAAGTAAGAAGTGCTGAGCAGGAGCCCTGGGGATGGAGGGCAGGTGAGATGGGGCTCCCAGGAAGATGCAGCCAAGCCTGGCTCACTCAGGCTGGCAGGGGCCCTCTGAAGTCCAGGAAAGTTGGTCCAGGACACTGAAACTCAAGTGACTCATCTGGGCCAAAGATCTGACCAGGTCGCACTGAATCTCATCAGCCCTGCCAACTGGAGGTCTGATCAGCCTTGAAGATCTTGCTCACTGGAGGCAGACAGCTGGTGGATGGGTCAGGAGAGCTGCCTACTGCCAATGTAGGAGTGCACTCAGTGTAGGCCCGCTGCCCCACTCAGTGGCCTGGATAACCTGCTGAGGCTGCAGCTTCTTCCAGTTTTTGAGCAATAGGGGCATGCACCATTTCCGAAGGTTTTCAGGCAATCCCTGGTGACCTCTGGCAGGGGGTGGTTATCTTGGCAATCTCCAGCAGGGCCTATGGACTTGCTCCCAGGCAAAACCCAGCAATCCCTGTGCCTACCCAGGCACTAAGCATTTGTGGTGGGGCTTTCTGGAAGCTCGCCTTCTCCTGCTGGCTCTTCGTTTTCCCCACCCCGGTACTTCTGGCCATTCTCCCTGTCATCATCACAATGAGACAGCTGGGTGCTGGAGACTCAGAAACTGCCATGCAGACCTTGAGTCCTTCCCAGGCCCAGCCAACAGGGCAGAGAATCCAGGAGAAAAGTCATTTTCACCTCCTGAAGGACCAGAGCTGACCAGGCACCTAGAAGCTGTGCCCCACTGCAGGCTGCCGGTGGAGCTCATGACAAGGCCGGAACAAGGCCGGAACGTGAAGCACTCCCTTGTCTGTCCTTTTTTCCTGAAGGCTGGGGCTTGCCCGGCCAATGTCACCCTTCAGGACAGGGAATCAGAGCTTTGCATGGCTGCCTTACCCCACCAGGGCAACGCCACAGAGAATCATGGCTGAGGCTTTCCTGTGGGCTGCAGTGCCTGACCCTTTAGGGTCCCCACAAAAACACCTTTCCTGCAAATAATCCACCGTGTCCTGCTTGCCAGCCTAGGCTTCCTCATCAGTTGGTGATTTCAATGAAAACAAACTACAGTGGAATGAACAAGTTCTAAATCAGGAACACACAAAGAATCTGTGGAAAGTCCATTTGTCATCTAGATTTTTAAAAGATACACATTTTCCCTTCTTGTTATATTCAGTAGTGCATGAAGCCAATATTATAATAGATGTGCAACTCACACTAAAGCTGACTAAAGGGTGAATTCTTATTCTAAGGTACTTTGTGGTCTCAAATTTATCTGTTCCCACCCCCAGGACCCCATTAAAACTGAATAATTGTCATTGAGAGCAGATGTAGAAAGAAACTAGCTAGGCAGATAGAGCAAAGAGTTCTCAACAGAACGTCCCTTCTAACAGAAAGCAACCCAGGAATTCACTTCTCTTTAACAAAGAGCAGCCTGGAAAATTGGGCTGCAATCATACAAAAGGAAGCTGGAAGCTTGTGTGGGCAGGGATGCCTGCAGCTGCATGGGTAGAAATGACCACCTTGGGCCAGACATATCCAACATGGGGGGCCCCACCCCTCTTTGTAGCATATGCACAGTAGAAAAGAGATAAGCAACTTGGAGTAGCTCAGGCTGAGAATCTGCCTGCATAATAAAAGGTTGGGGTGTGAGCTGCCAGAGATTCATGCTCTAAGCAGATGACACACCTGGTCCTAACCACTTTTTCATGCCCTATGTGGATAACATACCCCCTCCCACTAGCTCATCTATAAAAACACTTGTATTTCACTGCAGAATGGCAACTCTTTTTTTCTGGATCCCTCTCTGCAGCAGAGAGCTGTTCTCTTTTTCTCACCCATTAAACTTTTGCTCTAACCTCACCTTTGGCATATCTGTGTCCTTGGTTTCCTCGGTCCTGACACCAAGAAGTTCAGGTGTAACCCCAGAAGACACGGCCAGTTTATCATGACTTGTCTCATTGCCTCTTGGGACATAGAAACGTCAATGAAAATGTGTCCAAAAGGACATTTCATAAAGTGCTCTCTCTTCCAATCTTCAAGCAATGTGGGACTATCCATCATGTATAAAAAACTTGTGGCTGAAATGCACAATTTCTAATACAAAAATGAATGCTATAAATTACTCTATGTATGTGTATTATGGCCATTCAGACATCGTCACACATTGCCACATTTAGATAGAAGAACCTGTGAACTTGTGGCTGTTAGGAAGCTTAACTTGTGCATACTGTCACCTATGAAAGTTAGTTTTCCCTGCGTTTCTTGAAACCAACCTTGAAATGTCCATCTTGTACACAATTTCTATTTATCCCCAGTGAGGTTCACCCATCTGGCCCCGCCCTTACAGCCCTGGTACCAATGGAATTGCACTTGCTTATGCTTCTTCAAATTTTCTTGAGGTCATAAACATTTAGTGACAGAGTGGAATGAGAAGGTACTGAAGCAAGGGCTGATGCCTTCTGGGTAGATGGGTAGAGATCTCCTGCAGCCTGGACATCTTCAAAATAAGTAGGTTATAGGTCAATTTAGAGAAAAAAATAATACTCTTTCTTTGAACACCACAAAGAGAAAAGCGCTGGATCTAGATGTGTCTGTGAAGCCAGGCTTGTCCTGGGAAAGTGAGAAGAGCTGAGCAGGAGCCCTGGCAATGGAGGGTGGGTGAGATGTGGTCCCCACGGAGAGACCGCTAGGGTCAGGGCTTGGTACAGTGAGGCTGGCAGGGACCTTCGGAAGGCAAGGGAAGATGGCCAAGGACACAAGGCTGAAGCAACCCATCTGAGCCAAAGATCTGTTTAGGTCCTTCTGAATCTCAGCAGCCTTGCCAAGGAAGGCATGATTACCCATGGGTATCAGAGACACTGGAGGCTGGCAGCTGGCGGGTGGGCCAGGAGGCCTGACTACTGCACAGGTGTGATTTCACTGGCAGGCCAACTGCAGGGAGTGGATAAAGAGAGAGCTCTGTGTGGGAATCTCTCTCGGTGGATCATCGAAGAGGTGAAGTCTTCTTCATAGCCTCAAACCCAATTTGTGGGATAGCAATTCCAGTGAAGCTGGGACAAGCTGGCACTGCTCAACCAGGCCTCCCAAGATACCAGGTTTCTTTCCACCACAGCTGGGCCTGGATTGGGATGTGAACATCTATCCCAGAGTCCAGAGGATGGGACCCTGGTCAGTGATGGTGCTGGTGTGTGGTGTGAAGCCAGGTAGGGCAGACTCTTCAGGTGGGAGGAGAAGACAGCCTCTCCTGTGGGCTCCTGGGCAAGTCAACACCCTCTTTGGGCCTGTCTCCTCAACTGGAAAATGCAGAAAGCCTGTTGTGCAGGCCTCACAGGGTCATGATAAGGGGCAAAGGATGAAGGAAACTTCAGAATTCTTGTGCCCACCTCTTCCTGAGAGGGATGATGGTGAGAACAATGGTGATAGCCACATGCAACTGAGTCCTCAGGAGGTACTGTGAGGAAGGTGTTGTTCTCATCACACTTCCTAGATGAAAAAACAGTTTCAGGAAGGCCTGGCTGCATGCCCAAGGTTACACACACAGTGAGTGTTAAAGCTGGGAGTAAATCTAGAATCAGGACTCACTGGAGCTGGTGGGAGCATTACACCGGCTGACTCAGGCAGTTATCCAAGATCTGAGGTCGCTGGGGCTGGAGTGTAACTGTGAGACAGGCACAGTCTCACTGACCCTGTTTCTGACTCTACTAGGTAGGAACCTTTTTAAAGAGTCCAGATGGGGCTGCAGCAGCAGGTGAATTGGCCTATGGTAGGGAGGGGCTCCAGAGAGTCAAGGACAGGGCTCCTCCCTCCCAGCTGGAGTTCTCCACATCAAGAGACCTGGGTGTCTTCCTCCTCCAGCCCTGCCCTCCTGTGGCCACAATGCTTGGAATGCCTTCATTAGAGAGACTAGAGAAAGGGCCTGGGAGAGCTAGGCTCAGAGTAGATTAGACGAAGAGTGAGGGTGGGGACGATCTGACTTTGTGATTTATTAAAATCACACCATAGAGGTAACTAAGAAGTGCTTAGCGTCTTTGGAGGTCAGCTGTGGAAAGAGGAGGGAAAGATTTTGGGCAAGGAGGTGAAAGGTCCTTGGATGCTCTGAGTGAGAGACTTGGGTACGGGGGTCAAGGAGAAATAGGTTGGTGAGAGTTCAAAGGAGAGGTCTTGTGCAGTTAGCTGAGAATTGGTGCTCATCACTGCTACCACCTTGATAACACAGGCTGCTGTGCCCCCACTCCCCTCCCCCCCACCCCCCACCCCGGGCACACTTCTCAACAACCTGCAGATGCTGGAAATTGCCATAGAGGATTATAGAGATGTGAGTGAGACTGGGGCAGGCAGGCAGGGTGGGGACCAGGATCCTGAAGCTTGCGAGGACAGAGTCCTGGACTGAATCCTGAGACTGCAGCACTCAGCAAACCCCTTTCCTGAGAGCCTACCAGATGCCCCTGTAAATGGCAGTGTCAGTTCCGTCTTATCTATGAGTGACGGAGCCTCCAGCAAAGACACCATTTCCTGTTCCTTGAGTAGTAAAGCTGCAGAGCTAAGTCTCAGCCTCTGCCTTAGCTGGTACCCATTGCAGAAGAGAGAAATTGGGCCCCTCCTAAGACAGGCAGGTCCTAAATTGTTGAGTAACTTCTTTGTTTCCAAGGCCTTTGTCTCCCTATCATCACAGAGAATCAGGGAGAAAGGTCACTGAGCCTCAGTGTCCCTTCTGTGGAGCCCAGAACCTGATGCAGGTCTAAGTCCTGTTTTATGCACATGCTCTGACCCTGGTGGCCCTGGTGGTGGTGCAGCATAGGAAGTATAAGGGATGAGGTCTAGTCCTGTGTCAGGAAGCCTTTCTCATGAATCTTGGCTGTCTACCTCCTAAGAACATATAATCAACACTAATAAAGGAAGAAGGTGAGCAGCTGGCGCTGTCGCTTTGAGGGAGGGTGGGGATGTGAAAGTCAGACACCACCCTGAGGAAGACACTCCTTGGCTCCATCCTCTGCATCTTAGATTTATTGGGAAGGTTTGATACACAGAGAAGCAGGAGCCCCATCCCAATGGAGGGTTTGATTAGGGGAATAGAATCAATGATAAACTCCTAGAGGAGGGACTGTTTATATCCAACTCTTGAGAACAGGTTGGGGCTACATGGGATTGGAGGGGAGGGTAGGACCCCTTAAAAGAAAGGCCCTAGAAATTGTCCCTACCCCTTCACACCCCCACAAGTTCCCTTTGTCATCTTCCACCCAGGACCTGTCAGAATCCTGCCCTTCCTTCTGTCTCCAGATCAAAGTCCTCCAGGAAATGCAGCTGCTTCAGTGACAAGAGATAATCGTCATCTTCTGACTGAGGAGGAATTTGGGGTTTGGTTCCAGTGCATGAAGCTGCACAGTCAGAATAAAAGATGAGGGCCTAGCAGATTAGCAAAGACTAGGAGAAGACTCTATCTTGTGGCCAGCTTCAGAGAACCTGGGGCCATAGCTCCCTGGTCAACATTAGGCCTGCTGCATGGGGACCCTGGGCAGGCAGTGGGAAGCCTGAGGTGTGGCTCCTGGTAGCCTCACAGCTGCCACTATTTTCTGAAGCTCCTCCTACTTGTTTTGTCAGACGGGCCCCTATTCCAGCAGGCCAGCAACACCCTCAAGACCAAGAACAGGCCATGGTGAATCTCAGGGCCATTGAGTGCCTGGGCTGGCAGGGGCAGAGTGCCTCAGGGCTCAGTGACATTTGGCCTGAGTGTTGGCTTTGGGAGTCAGACAGCTGCACTGGGCTCCCAGCTTCACCATGACCAGTAATGTGTCTGGGGCCGGGGCCTCACTGCTCTAAAACTTGAGACACCATAGTGATAAATTTTACACACCCTTCTAACTGCTTTTTCTTTTTTATCTGTCTTTCTCTATAATCACCATGTACTACTGATCTCTGTTTATTTAAATTAATAAGCATGTTATACAGTGTGTATTATTCTTCCTCGTGACTTCTTTACTACATTGTATGATTCCACTCATATGAGGTACTTACAGTAGTTCCATTCATAGAAACTCAAAGTAGAAGAGTAGTTCCTAGAGGCCAAAAGGAAGGTAACGGGAACAGAGTTTGAGTTTTGCAAAATGAACAAATTTCCCTATGAATGTGGATGATGGTTGTAGAACAATGTGAGTATGATTAATTCCTCTGTCCTGCACTTTTAAAAATTGTTAAAATGGTTAATTTTATGTATATTTTACCACAATGTAAAAAAGGACTTTTTTAAATGAACAAACTGTAGATATCTGTAACAGCATAAATATCACAAATATAATATTGCATTAAAAAATTGATGTAAAAGTATCCATACTGTGTAATTTTTTATATTACACTCAAAAATCAAAACTGAGGTTCTGGCTTCCACTAATGATGAAGTAGCTAACTGAACTAACACTCTCACACAGAAAAATGATGAATCCTGGGTAAATTATTATATATCATTATAGAAACATTTCTATATACAATACATACATGAAATATGTGTATATAAAAACTGAATGCATATTTTGGCTATGACTTCCATAGGAGAGATAAGTATTGAAGATAGAATCCAGCCCATTTAACACCATCTTTTAAAAACAACACTCTTCACAGGGACAAAACAGAATCCAGTCTTTTTAATCCAGTCTTGTATACAGTCTCCAGGGCACAATTTCCAATTCAAGGGATGCGTGAAGACACGTGAAAATGTAATAAATACACAAGATAAAAAGCAGGCAGTAGCCATCTCCAAGATGTCCAAGATGTAAACGGCAGACAAGAATTTGAAGGCAGCTATTATAAACACGCTCATGAGGGCAAAGGAAAATATTCTCATAAATGAATAGATGTGAAACATCAGCAGAGAAAAAATAGCCATATAAAAAATGAGAAATAAAAATAATAATTTTGAGCTTTTCTATAGTTCAGAAACAGAGACATAGCAATATAATTTATCCAATCTGAGGAGAGGAAAAAAAAAAGAAGTTTAAAGAAAATGAACAGAGCCTTACAGACCTGTGGGATGACTGAGTCTGAGAAAAGGTGAGAGATAGAAAAAATCAAATGGAGTATAAAAGTAAATCAACAAAATTTAAAGAAAATAAACACAGCCTTAGAGACCCATGGAATTATTGAGCCTGAGGAGAGGAGAGAGACAGAAGAATTAGATGGGTTGGAAAAATAAATCAATAACTAACAGCTGCAAACTTGCAAAAATTGTTCAAAAACCTATTTTTTTTTTTTTAATCTAAAGATCCACGAATCCCCCACAAAAGTACAAATAAAACCATACCAAGGCCATATTGCAATTTAGGAAAGCAGCAGGCAGGACTTTCAATTGACTTGATATGATTTATCATTTTTACTATTTGTAAGAATGGAAATAAGTTCTTAGAGTTTTGGTCTTGGAGAAAGTCTGACGTTAAGGACAAACGACAGTTATTAAAGGCAGATGACTTTCCAGACTTGTCTTAAATGTTCCATTCTTCACCTTAGAACTTATTTAAATTTGTTTCTTCCAAATACTGCAGTAATATTGATGCTCCAGAGAGATGTCCCACGGAGATTCTGCTCTTGTGCGTCTGCCCTGCACGGAGCTGAGGCAGTGTCTATCAGTTTCAGAAGCGAGTAGTCGTGCAGTACTTAACCTGAAAAACTTAATGGAAACATGAATTAAGAGAATGATCACTGTTTAGTTCTATCAGAAAACTATTAAAAGTGGTCCAAGGGGGTATTTAAAAAGAGATATTAAAGTATTTTCCAAGGGAGCCCTATTCAGGGTAGAAGCGCAGACACTATCCCTGACCTCACCACACAAACTACCCTCATGTGTTGGGAGGGACCAAGGGGCGCTCTGGTCCTGCTGACCTGCATTAATCACGGCCCGGAGGTCCACACTAAGACCCTGAGGCCTGGGAAGCAGCCTGGGTGGGGTCAGAGAAGCGGTGGATGAGGCTCCACAGCAGCTCCCAGGGTCCCATCCCCGTAGCTGTTTCCTTAGTGGATGCAGCAGGGTCAGGCCCTTCCGCTGTGACGTTTTCTCCTCTTTATTACACTGGTGGGAAAGTCTCCGTGAGAGGCCCGACCTAGATATGGACCACGCAGCGAGCCCGGGGGTCCAAGCGGCGCTCCTGGGGTGCAGAGGATTTGTGACAGCCTAGAGAACAGAGGAAATGGTTTTGAAAAGGCAAATGGCAGGTGACTAGGGACACGATGTTTTCACTTCTGGCAGTCAAGTGACAGTTTCAGACACTCATGAACGGGCTTCTCGAGGGGATCCCAAGGAGCCTCCAGGTCGGCCGCCATTACCCTACACCTAGGGACGGGCTGCACTGCGCATTTCCGAAAGGGCAGGCCCCTTAGCCCCACCCCTAGGAATGGGTGCACTGCGCATGTGTGAAAGGGCAGGACTTTTATCCCGCCGCTAGGGACGGGCTACACTACCCATGTCTGAACGGGTGTGACAAGAGGGAGGAGCGAGAAGGGACGGGGCGGAGCGGGAGATGGGCAAGAATAGGGGCGCGGTGCGGCCAACGTCCGGCGGAGGATCGTTACCACGGCAACGCTGCTGTGGAGGCCATGAAAGGCGAACGGCCCTTTGTTGGCTGACAGGAAATCGAGACACTCGTGAGGGGGCTTCTTGAGGCGATCCCAAGAGGCCTGAGAACTGCCACATCCGCGGCCCTTAACCCAGCCCTAGGGACGGGCCGCACTGCGCATGTCTGAAAGGGAGTGACAAGAGGAGGAGCGAAGGAGGGTGGGGCTGAGGAGGAGGCGGGGTGAGAAAAGGGGCGGGTCGCGCCCCACCCTTGTCTGAGGAGCGTTACCTTGACAACCCTGCCGCGGAGGCAGTGAGAGGCCACCGGCCCTTTGTTGATCTGCAAGGTATCAAACTTCGAACATGACAAGCATAAAAGCCTGCAGCTCGAGGAGACAGGGTGTCACAATTACCAGGTGAAACTAGCCGCCCTAGCTCCAATGTCTCTTCAGCAGGAGAGATTTGGAAACAGCAAGGCTCCTCTCCGCAGGGCGAAACTGCTGGGCTGCGAAAGGCGGGACAGGGAGCGGAACCGTCTTCAACCGTTCCGGGAGTTCTGGTGTCTGGTCCGCTCCCGGCTGTTGGTCGCAGGGCAGAGGGTCTAGGATGCCAGCTGGCTGCGGGCTGGGAGATGCAGGGTGAGGCGCGCATCGCGGTGCATACTGGGAGTTGTAGTCTCTCCACCGTTCCCCACGGTGGATGGTGGGGCTACAGGAGGACAATCCCAGATTGAGACAGGAGCGGAGGCGGGGCGCGGCCGTGCAGGGAGGGGGAGGGCGGTGTAGGCGGCTTCGTTTACCAAGCTTGCTGGCCATTGATTTCATGCCAAACCCTCGCCAAGGGGATTAAATCAGGAGAGGAACTTGAAGGGCAGGCCTGGTCTCGCCAGTGAGGAGGATGTGTTGTTGGGAAGTGCACCCCGCCTTTGCCTAAATCGAGAGTGTCTGGTCCTCACTCACGCGACTTCGACTTCCAGCTGCTCAGCTCGATTTTCTTTCCCACTCGCACCCGAGTTCTTTCCAGAGCGTCCCACCTCCTCCAGCCCATGGAGCCGTCTGCTTTCATAAGTGGCTGTGGAAACTGGTCTGAGGTCCCAGACGCTGTCACTGTGCTGCTGCCCTCCGCTCTCTCCAAGCAAAGCACAAGCTGAGCCGCCTTGGAAAGACAACCACGGCCTGGCCTGGGAATGCGCAAGTTCAGAGCTTTGCAGGGAGTGACCATGGGCTGTGGCTTCGTGAAAATGTCACGTTCACCAGTACCCTTTTTGCGGATGTGGCCGTGGAGCCATGAGGGGGGTAATCACTGGGTTACAAAGGTGCTGCTAAGAGCGGAGGAGAAAAACCCAATTCCCAGCCATGTGTCTGGTATGACATTTCACCAACCCATTTAAGTGTGCAGGCCTCCAAATATCTACCTAAAGATTATGATAGATTAGGCATTTTACACTAAAAATCTGTGGCTTCGTGTCCACTAAAGCCTGACTGGCCAGTGCCTAAAAGAAACAGACGATAACCTGATCCCTCAGGAACAGATGGTGTTCTAGCTTTGTGGAAGTGAATTTCAAGGTATGGAGCACTTGAGGGGTCTTTGAAACCTGCCAGGTCTCACATCTCTGCTTTTGGTGAAAAGCTCATCAACTAACAGTAGTCAGGAATGTGCCTTTACTTCCTGGGGCTGGTCTGTTGAAATTTTGTGTGTGGACAATGGAAACATCCAGGAGCATTTCTGCTTTCCTATAGCCTCTTAATAATTGATGCCCTAAAGTCCTATATCCTTTGATTCCTGGATGGTACAGATTTCATGCTGTTAAATCTAATCTGCAAAAACCTGAGCGTTAATCTCCATGAATAGAAGAACTTGTTGTTTCTTATTTAAATGCTCTTTTTTCTCTTGTCTTAGATTCTGAGCAGGATTTCCAATACGGTGTTGAAAGAAGTAGTGAGAGTGGGCATCTTTTTCTTATAATAAATCTTAAAAACAATTCCAAAATTTCACCATTGACAATAATGTTAACCATGGGATTGTCCTATAGCTTATAAAGAACATATCTCTTTATTTTGAGGTATATTCTTTCTATACCTAATTTGTTATAGATTTTATTTGGAATGGATTTTAAATTTTGTCAAAATAATTTTAGGCATGCATAAAAAAGTCATGATTTTTAATCTTTTTGTTGTGTAAATAAGGAGTATGGCATTTATTGATTTCCACATATTAAAATATTATTGCATCCCAGGAATAAATCCAACTTGATCATAATAAATGATCCTTTTAAAGTGCTTTTGAATTTCATTTGCAACTACGTTGCGGATGATTTTTCATCTATGTTCATCAGGGATATTGGCCTGTAATTGTTTTTCTTGTAATGTCCATCTCTGGTTTTTGTATCAGTGTAATGCTGGCTTCATAAAATGAGTTTGGAAGTATTCCTCCTCCTTCAATTTTTTCAAAGATTTGGTTCTTTTTAAATGTTTAGTAAAATTCAGCAACAAAGTCATCAGATCTAAACTCCTTACCCATTACTGATCTATTCATATTTTCTATTTCTTTATGCTTCAGTCTTGGTGGGTGGTACTTGTCTAGAAATGTATTCATGTCTTCTCCCTTATCCCATTTGGTGGGATATCATTGTACATAGGAGTCTGTGTACATAGCAGTCTTATGACCTTTTTTTATTTCTGTTTTACCAGTTGTAATGTATTCCCTTTAATTCTGATTTTATTTATTTAAGCATTTATTTCTTAGTCTAGCTAAAGATATGCCAACTTCATGTTTTCATAAAACAAGCTCTTACAATTTTTCTACATTTTCTATTGTTTTTCTAATCTTCAGTGTATTCATTTCTGCTCCGATTTTTTTTACTAATTTTATTATCTGGGAACGTTGGGATAAGTTCTTCCTCCTCTAGTTTCTTGAGTTGTGTCATTATTTGTTTATTTGTGATCTGTTTTCTCTTTGGTTGAAGGTGTTTACTGCCACTCCATTTCACTGGGATTAGCACCCATATGCATTGTGGTCTTTTTGTTTGAGTTCATCAAACTTCTGATCCTAAGTCTGCACCTTTAGCATACTGGTAAGCAGCAGTGCTAAAAGCCTACACGATGAGTAGGGGATTTAGGATGAGAGAATTACCCAGTAAGTTTTGGGAGGGACTAATATTAAGTTATCTTTCTCTTTTTTATTTCTCATCAGTGCCTGAACCATAAGGCACAAGGAATGAGCCCCTCATCGTGAGAGTGCATGTGACAGGAGCAAAGGAAGCGGCAGCTCAGGAAACACAAGGTCACTGTTCTTGCTCCCATGACGGTAGCACTTGTTAGAGCAACTGAGTGACGTGCATAATTCTCTCCAAAGTAAAAGTCCTTTTTGTTTTTTGCAATTTTACAAAAAACCGTCCCTGGGCCTTTCCTGAGAGTGTGCAATAATAAGCAATGTTCATATGACTACCCGGGCATTTAGTAATGGTAAGCAGACCAGATGAAGTGACCACAGGGATATAGCCTGACTCTTGGTAATCAGGACTGAAGTACTCACTGATTAAGGTTCTGTGTTTTCACTGCCTTGAAAGGCAAGTGTCTTGCAAGCTGCATGCCAAACAAAGGCTAAATATGATGACACATCAGGCTGCAGCAGAGTCAACTGACCATATATGTCTAGGTGATGAGTGTGCTTTAATGTGGTCAGGGAAGGCAACTCATGATAAAGGCCACAAATGGCTATTTAGACCAAAGCAAAAGCCCACCAGAAACTGGTGGCTCTGACTGAGGTGACTTTTAATGTATCATGAAATCAGTAGGCCAAAAGCAGTTAAAGTTGAGCCGATGTCCTTAGTCATAGTTGGTTAATCCAGTTTGTATTGTGAATTGTTTGATTAGCCTCCCCTTTACCCCATTGGTGAGGGATAAATTACCACCCTTGTACTACTGGAACAGTTAAAACCATGGCACCAATCATTGGACAAATGAGATTGACAGCAGTTATTCGTTACATATAATCATGGAAGAAGGAAATTATATAAGGTATACAGACCCACACAGGGATTGCACTTGGGAGCAGAGAGAACAAACAGGGGGTGTTGGGGAAGGCTTTGTAGTATCAAGAGGGTGAGATGCACCTGGTTCCCACAGGAAGTTGTTATTGGTTGGTCTGGATAATTCTGTGACCTTGGGAGAAACTGAAACACATTATACTACCAATTGCTAAGACTACAATAACATACTATAATAGTGTAATGCTATAATGTACCATATACTGTAATACTAATGACAGTATGTTCTCCCTTTTTTGATAGATTCTCAGAAACTGTGACTTTAAGTAAAACAATGTACTATATAATAAAACCAATTTTACCATTGGCTAATTGATATAAACAAGAGTTAATTTTCCATGGCATATAGTATTTTGTTTCACTTAAAGTCAGTTTCCAGGGACCTATCAATGATGTTAAGTGAGCACTTACTGAACATGTATTTTAGTGATGTGTAATAGAAAGTAGCTATAAAAAATATACTATTCATGTACAAAACTACATGTGGCACACATTACAGTCATGAACCACATAACAATGTTTGAGAAATTGACAGACTATATATATGAGGGTGTTTTCTTGTGAGTATATATATATATATATAAACCTACCTTTAAAGGCCAAAGGAGCTGAGAGTTTGAAGAATGAGGCTGACAAATCAAGCTTCTCAGAAAGAAACATTTAAGAGGAACATTTATTAATAGAAGCTATGTCTCAGATAGCTGAAGATGGTGGAACCTCACACTGTGACCCCCTAAACCCAGACACTTATCACAGGAAAGGGAATGTGAAGGACAATTGAAATCACTATATAAATTTGCCTAAGGGTAGGATTTGTGCTAAGTACCTGTTCACAATAGCATCAGGGTTGTTTTGATTTAAGGGTAGGGCTTATAGAACTGTAGGTTTCAATATATGACATAGGTATTTGAAACCCTCACCAAAAAACATTAGAGGAAGTAACTCTGTCATCATTTTAAGTTTCTTTTTTTTTTTTTTAGTAATTTAAAATCTTAAAGTCTGGTTATGTTAAATTAAGTAATCTTAAGTTTCTCACTAAAAATTAGTATTGCTAAGCATTAAAAGAATAGTTTTAAGACAGTTTTTACCCCAGCACTAGTGATTGGATAATACGGCCCCAGGCCCCACCCCTTCAGGTTCTGAATGAGAGAAGATGTGAGCCAACTCGTAGCCAGATGACAACAGGGTAAAATGTTCCAAGCCGCAGCCTTTTTCAGGCAGGACTTCCTCCTTATGCTGAAGCCCGGCCTTCACTGTGGGATATTTGCATTTAACCTTGTATATAAGGTTATTTTTATTTATAAGTTGTATATATGTGGCCAGGCATAGTGGATCTCACCTTTAATACCAGCACTTTGGTAGGCTGAGGGGACAGAAGCTCTTGAATCCAGGCGTTTGGGACCAGCCTGGGCAACAGAATGTGAGGGCCCCACATCAAAACTTTTCTACAAAAAAATGAAAAAATTAGCCAGGCATGGTCACACGTGTCTGTGGTCCCAGCTACTTGGGAGGCAGAGGTGGGAGGGTCACTTAAGCCTGGGAGGTAGAGGCTGCAGTGAGCTGAGATCAGGCCACTGCACTGCAGCCTGGGTGACAGAACAAGATTCTCTCTTTCTTTCTCTGCCTTATTTGTGTGTGTGTGAAGGGGGAGGGGTGTGTGTGTGTATTATTCAAAATAGAAACAAAATAATAACAATTATTTTTATTTTTATTTACATTTTTTTGAGACAGAGTCTCACTCTGTCACCCAGGCTCGAGTACAGTGATGAGATATTGGCTCACTGCAACCTCCGCCTGCCAGGTTCAAGTGATTCTTCTGCCTCACCCTCCCAGGTAGCTGGGATACAGGCACCCACCATGTTGCCCAGCTAATTTTTGTAGTTTTAGTAGAGACATGGTTTCACCATGTTGACCAGGCTGGTTTCGAACCGAGGTCAAGTGATCCGCCTGCCTCGGCCTCCCAAAGTGCTAGCATAACAGGCATGAGCCACCATGCCCAACCAATTACAATTATTTTTAATTTTTAGATTTTACAATCTTTCTGGCCTCTTGGCTTTTGAGGCAAACTGAGCTTTGAAATTAGGCAATCCTCTATTGCACCAATGTGCAATAGAAGTAAAATGTGAGCCACATGTGACAATTAGAATTTGCTAGTAGCAGCATAAAGAAAAAGAAAAATGAGTGAAATTGATGTTAACAACATAGCTCAATATATCTGAAATATTTTAACATATAATCAGAATGAAATAATTAAAGAAACATATATATGTGTACATATATACGTACACACACATAGACATATGTTTCTTTAACCCAGCATTATATATTTTTATGCACATATGTATATGTAACTAAATATTTAAATATTTTCTTGTATTTCTCCCCAGCATATCTTAGTTCATGCTGGGCACAATACAGTTGTTCAGTAGCCCCTGTGCCCAGTGGCTGCCACATTGCAAGTGCATCTCTGAGGGCTCTGACTTTTCTGACCTTAGGGAGGTTAAAGGGCCTGAATCCTCCTTTTCTGCCAGATAGGAGTGAATGCCCCTTCTCTGCCAATATCACTCCTGTTTAAAGGATAAGAGAGGTGGTGCCCTGAGAGACAGTAGGGCCTACAAGAAACAAGTGTTCACAGGTAGAACACTGCTGTCCACTTTTGCTTGGTGTGGACTCATCAAACCTCCAGAGATCATACAGCAGTCCAAAAAGTGGGGCCCCAGAAGAGGGAAACCTCATGTTTTTAGATCTGTCCATAGGCTTGATCTGATGTGGAGAGACTAGATTAAAGGCAAACTTTTTATCTTGCAACTTGGCCTTGGCAAATTAAATAGAAATATGTCACTATAAAAATCAATTAAATAAAAAGGAAGGCAGTAAGAGCAGAAAAGAGGAGAAAATACCTACAAGAAACAAATAGAACTATTAACAAAATGGAAGTAGTCCATTCTTTTCACAATTAAAATGAATATATACATAGAGTAAAATTTCCAACAGAAATGTGTAAATTGGCTAAAGAGATTGAAAGAAAAAACGATTTGTTTTCTGCTGTCTATAAGAAACTCACTTTAGATCTAAGCACACAGATAGGCTAAAAGTGCAAGTATGAAAAATATCTTCTAGGAAGATTGCAATCAAATGAGAGCAAGAGGGGTCATAATTATGCAAAATACACATTAAGTCAAAACTGAATTAAAGGACAAATAAAGATAGTATATAATGATACAAGTGTTGATTCACTGGGGAAGCTGTGTTAATAATAAATATATGTACACTTCACATCGGGGTTTCCAAATGTATAAAGCTAAGATCGACCCAGATGAAGAAAGAAATAGCTATGCAAAAATAGTAAGAGACATAATTATCCGACTATCAGTAGCAAACTCTGTAAACCGAACAGACATATAGAAAACACTCATCACAGTGAATAGATTCAGGAAGCTGAAGGCCCATGGGACATGACCAACTCAGCATTCCACTGGAGGCTATATGATCAAACAGCAAACTCTTTATCATGAATGCAGGATGTGGGCAAACTCACACTGCCCTGCCACCAAAAGGTTTGCTGAGGGCCTCATTCCCTGGCACCAGGCTCCTTGAAGTTATCTACTGAGAAATCCAGTGCCTATTGTTCTAAGAATGCAGTCTCTCGAGTCAGCTGTGAATCAAGCTGCTGGTGGAAAACCACCCCCGCCTTCTCACTATCTCTTTTACCTAATAAATATGGAGGGCTGTGTAAAGCTCAGGTACCTTGTCCACTAGAGGCAAGGTGCCCCTGACCCCTTTTTCCAAATATACCCCTTTGTCTCTTGTCTTTTATTCCTGCATTCACCCTGCTTTGTTCAGTCCAATAGGTCTGTGTAGGCTACAAATAGAAGTGAAAAAAAAGAAAAAAAAAAACACTTCACACAACAATATCAGAATACACACTTTTTCCAATAGGTCATGAAACATTCTCCTGAGTAGATAACCTACTAGGACACAAAACAAGTTTTACCAAATTTTAAAATGTTAAAATATGGGCTAGGCATTGTGGCTCATTCTTATAATTCCAGCATTTTGGGAGGCTGAGGTGGGAGGATTAGTGAGTTTAGGAGTTCGGCGCCAGCCTGGGCAACATAAAGAGACCCTCTCTTTAGAAAATATAAAATTTAAAAATTAGCTGGGCATAATGGCACATGCCTGTGCGTCCAGCTACTCAGGAGGCTGACGGGGGAGGATTGCTTGAGCCTGGGAGATCGAGGCTCTGGTTAGCCATGATTGAGCCGCTGTGCTCCAGCCTGAGCAACAGAGCAAAACTCTGTTTCAAAAAAAAGATTAAAATATTACAATCATTTTTTATTACAAGGGAATAAAATTAGAAATCAATAGCAGAAGAAATATGGAAAATCTACAAATATGTGGAAATTAAACAACGCACTCTTCTGCATGCTCTCGTTCAAGGGTTGGAAGACAATATTGTGAAGATGTCCACACTACCCAAAATGATCTACAGATTCAATGAGATCTCTATCAAATTTTAACTGTCATTTCACTTGGCAGAAATACAAAAAACATTTCTAAAACTTATATGGAATCTAAAGTGACTCTCAGGAGCCAAACAACCTTCAAAAAAAGAAATAATATTGGAGGCATCACACTCCTTGACTTTATAATGTATTACAAAATTACAGTAACCAAACTATTTAGTACTGACATAAAGGCAGACACACAGACAAATGGAACAGAATAGAGCACAGAAATAAACTGTCATATATATGGCCAAATGAAGAGTTATTTGTATATCCATATTCATTGCACAACATTATTCACAACAGCTGATAGGTGGAAGCAACCCAAATGTCCCTCAATGAATCAGTGAATAAAGACAAATTGGAATATACAAATAATGGAATATTATCCAGTTTTTTAAAAGCAGGAGATCTGATTATTTTTACACTAAGGATAAATCTGGAGGACATTATGTAAATAAAATAAATGAGTCATAAAAGGACACTGTGTGATTCCAGTTAAATATCTAAAATAGTTAAACTCTTAGAAACAGAAAGTAGAATAGTATCAGTCAGAGCCTCAGGGGAGGAGATAAAAGGGTAGTTGTTGTTTCATGGCTATTGAATTTTAGTTTTGCAACATAAAAACATTCTAGAGATATGTTGCATAACAATGTGAATATATTTAATATTATTTAACTATGTACTTAAAATATTTAAGATGGTAAATTTTATGTGGTTTTGACTACATTAATAGTGAAAAACTTTCTAAAGAGATACATATTTATCAATCTTTTCAAAAATTACCTTCAAATCCTAAAAATATCAGAAAAACAATAAAGAGGCCAGGTGCAGTGGCTCATCCATGTAATTGAAACACATCAGGAGGCTGAGGAGGGAGAATAGCTTAAGCCCAAAAGTTGGAGACCAGCATGGGCAGCGTAAAAAGACCTCAGCTGCAAATCACAAGCAGAAGGAAACTGGCAAATGAAAAAATATGTGAAACTTAAAACAGAACACTCTTGACTTCTTGTTCAAGGGTCAGAAAATTTAATATTATTAAGATGTCAATACTACTCACAGTGAAGCACAAATTCAAAGTATTTTCTATCAAAATCCCAATGTTACATTTTTTTCAGAAATATTAAGTCTTAAAATTCATATGGAATCTCAAGGGACAATGAGTAGCCAAAGTAGCTGTGGAGAAGAACAAAGTTAGAGGTATCACACTTCCTGATTCCAAAATATATTATAAAGCTATAGCAATACAAACAGAAAGACAAATAGATGATGGAATAGAATAGAGAACCCAGAAATAAACCTTTATGAATATCATCAAATAATCTTCAATCAGGCTGCCATGACCGAACAACAGGGAAGAACAGAATAGTGTTCTAAAATTGAGTATCAAAATGGAAGAAAATAAAATTGGACTTTTCACTTGCACCATATAGAAAACTATCTTAAACACTTAAATGTAAGTAAGATCGCTATAAAAGTCTTAAAATATAAGGTAAAAATCATGACATTTGTCTTGATAATTTTTTTAACATGACATTAAAAGCAGAAGTAACAAGAAAAAAGCAGGAAAATGGGACTACCTCAAATGTAGTAAGCTTTCTGATAAAGAGAAAACAGCTGGGCCTGGGGGACCACTACCACCAAGACGCAGAGACCAGTAGTGGCCCCGAATGGCTGGGCACGCTGATATTTATTGCATACAAGACAAGGGGGCAGGGTAAGGAGGGTGAGTCGTCCAGGTGATTGATAAAGTCAAGCAAGTCATGTGATCATGGGACAGGAGGCCCTTCCCTTTTAGGCAGCCAAAGCAGAGAGGGAAGGCAGCATACATCAGTGTTTTCTTCTATGCATTTATAAGAAAGATCAAAGACTTTAAGACTTTCACTATTCCTTCTACCGCTATCTACTAAGAACTTCAAAGAGGAACCAGGAGAATGGGAGGAACGTGAAAGTGGACAAGGAGCGTGACCACTGAAACACAGCACCACAAGGAGGGGTTTATGCCTCCGGATGACTACGGGCAGGCCTGGATAATATCCAGCCTCCCACAAGAAGCTGGTGGAGCAGAGTGTTCCCTGACTTCTCCAAGGAAAGGAGACTCCCTTTCATGGTCTGCTAAGTAACAGGTGCCTTCCCAGGCACTGGCATTACCGCTCGACCAAGGAGCCCTCAAGCGGCCCTTATGTGAGTGTGACAGAGGGCTCACCTCTTGCCTTCTAGGTCACTTCTCACAATGTCCCTTCAGCACCTGACCCTATACCCACCAGTTATTCCTTGGTTATATGAGTAATACAACAAAGAGTAATATTAAAAGCTAGTGATTAATAATGTTTATACTAATGATGGATAATGTCCATGATCATCTCTATATCTAATTTGTGTTATAACTATTCTTTATTCTAACTGTTTTCTTTATTATACTGCAACAGTTTTTACCTTCAGTCTCTTGCCTCGGCACCTAGGTAATCCTTCACACCCACATGTTTCTACAAAGGAGATATACAAACGGCCAAGAGGAATTTTAAAAGATGCTGCAAATCATGAATCTTTAGAGAAATGAAAAGCAAAACCCCAGTGAGATATTACCTCACATTCATTAGGATGGCCACTATCAAATAAGAGAAAATAACAAGTGTTTTCAAGGATGTAGAGAAATTGGTATATTTGTGCACTGGGTGGTGGAAAAAATAATCATGCAGCCATTATGAAAAATAGTACAGAGTTTCCTCAGATTATTAAAATTGGAATTATGATGTGGTCTGGCAATACCATTTCTAGATATCTATCTAAATGTGCAAAGCGGGACCTGAAAGAAACATTTACATACCCACGTTTATGACAGAATTATTCTAAAAATCCAAAAGGTAGAAGCTACTTGAATGTCCCTTGACAGATAAATAAGTAAATATGATATATACATACAATGAAATATGATTTTAAAAGGAAATCTTATCACATGCTGCAATGACAATAAACCTTTAGGGCATGATGTTAAGTGAAATGTGCCAGGAAACAAAGTGACAGTGATTGTGTGATTCCACTTATGAGATATCTTAAGTAGTCCAACTCACAGAAATGGAAAGTAAAATGTTAAGGGCTCAGGAGAGGGTAAAATGGGCAGTTGACGTATATGGGTATTGAGTTTTAGTTTTGCAATGGAAAAGCTCTAGAAGCCTGTTGCATAACAATGTGGATATATGTACCACTAATAAATTATGCAATTACAAATGTATAGACTGGTAAATTTTGTTGTGTTTTATTACAGTTAAAATATTGTAAAGTGATACATAAAAGAGATACCGAGTTACAAACTTTTTGGAAAATTACCTTCAAATTATAAATGTGTTTTCCTCACACAAAGAAAATATAGATTTGTTCAATAAATACGTGGGTAAGTTAAGACTACTTATATGACTACTGTCCTGAACAAGATAAAACAACTTTTGACACCAGCCAAGAAGAGAAATATGCAAGATAATTAAGAAGAAATAGACTATATTTATAGAGGCAAACAAACACACGATTTTATTGGTGGTAGATATGGCTGATTCATATTTTGATTAAACATCACATTGACTTAACATGTATATAGAGTTGCAGATTTACATCCAAAATCATAATACGTAGGTAAAACCAAACTCACAAAACACGAATGTCAAGGAACTTACCAAAAAAAAAAAAAATAGTAATATGAAATTTCAAAAAAGAATGAGAGAAACAACGAAAAAACTCCTATATAAAACATAGATTTACAACTAAGAAAGAATCCTCCTAGATAACTACAATCTTCAGCTGTGACTGTGCATCCGTGGTGAGCAGGGATTTTGAATCAAGACTGCGTTAGGAAGAGGCTCAAGGGGGCAGACAGTGCCACCTCCAGAGAAGCCACTGCTCCTACTCCTGCCTCTCCTGCTACTGCCGCCACGGTCCTCTGCTCCTGCAGCCCCCACTGGGCGCCGGATTCCTTCTTGGAGTGCGGAGGTCCTGTTCCTTCAGGAACGACAGACAGCTTTTCTCCCCGTCTCCTCGTTTGCTCAGCCGGCAGGTGCAGGACTGGAGATCTGAGGTGGTCCTGCGTCTCGAGGAGCCGGGCGCCCGACTGTGAGAAGGAGGAGGCAAGCTATGGGGAGAGGGGGCGACAGGAATGCCAGGCTCATGAGGCCGGCGGCCGCGGCCCAGGCAGGGCTGGCTGCTGCCTGGGCCGGATGGTAAGAGATACTGTGGAAAGAAAATAAAATAAAATAAAATAAGTAATAATAAAGTTTAAAATAATAAACCTAACATAGGTAATAGTTAACATTCAGCATAGGTTACTTAGAAGTTATACATAGGCTAAGAAATTTCAGCAGTCCATTCCAGCATTGCTAACAAGTTGCAGCTGCGAGCTTATCTCAATCTTCCAAGCTTATTGCCTGCCTCCAGACCCCCGCATATTCCTGTAATTCGTGTTTTCCCTTACCCCAGCTCTGTTCAGCTTCAAAGTTGACTGGACAAAATAACTAAATTGTAAGTTCTCTCCGAATTGTCACGGGTTGGATAATTTACTGTCTTTGTCTGAAACCTGTAACCTGCCTTGTTTTCCCGCCTCAAACGGCACTTAAGCAAGCCTGCTTTCTTTGCAGGGGTCGGCAGCCATTTTGGGCATGAGCCTGCTGTTGGCTCAGGTGCCTGAATTAAATAAAGTTCTCTTTGGTCTCCAAAGGTCTCTTCGTGTTCCTTGGCTGGAGTTTTACTACAACAGTATCAGATGTCGCCACCATCCCCATCCTTGGCTCCCTAGCCGTCATTCATACATCCTGTGTTCAACAAACAGAAGTGGCAGCGGGAGCTGCTGCTCCGGGAGGGGGAGTGGCCTGGCAGGGGGCACACAGCTGCTACCTGCTGCGAGGCGAGTTGGTCTGCAGCCTGGGCCTTTGTGCAGGACACATCGCCGCCCTTGTCCCGCTTGCTCCCCCGCCTGCCACGCAACATGCTCAGGTGCCAGATCTCGGGCATTCCTGGCAAGCGTACTGTGGCGGGGAGGCAGCAGGGAGGAGGGGTTTGCCAGGAGCCCTGAACAGAGGTTCTTGGCATGGAGAAGAGACAGAGGTGGCTGACTGGTTCCAGTTTTAGGTGGGTGGGGGGAGGGGGTGGCAAACCCCATGGGACTTTGTTTTTTTCAAGGAGACTTCAGTTCACTTCTTATCTGTTCTCCACCCGCTTAAGCCTCTGAGAACAGAGGAGATGGGGCTCTTTTAAATTGGCCTGGCCGTAACGGTCTGGACCCTTGCCGCAGGGCAGATCTCATTTGGGGGCTCTTTGAAGCCTGGAGGCTCACGCCTGTCCATCCCAGGTGTCTTCAATATAGGGTCAAGTTAGGCCTGGCTGGCAATGATGCTGGAATGCAGGACGATCTGGCCAGATCTTCGCCTGTTACAGGATATTTTAGCCTTCAGCACCCTGCACCATTTCCCTCACCTGCAGAAGCCCCCGTGAGCCTCAGTGTTGCTAGGGCCCAGACCCTGGATGCCTCTCTATTAGAGTCCCACTTTACCCCACCTAAATGCACCAGGCCCTTACTCTGCCTTTCCCCTTTTCCCAGAACATGCCCCATTCAACTCCAACAGGACATGTCTGGACCACGTGCACCCCTCTTCAGTGTTAAAACAGAGAAAATAATGTATTTTTCACTGAACATGTAACTGATTTAACATATAAGGAGATCAGCTTTATGTGTAGATATGCATGTAAATATACACAAAATTTCTAACGTTGTGGGAAAATTAACATCTTTACACTTTGTTCAGTGATTTTATAGTTTTCTCTCTCTTACTCACTTGCTTCTTTTTTTTTTTTTTTTGAGACAGAGTCTTGCTCTGTTGCCCAAGCTGGAGTACAGTGGCAAAATATCAACACACTGCAGCCTCTGCCTCCTGGGTTCAGAAGATTCTCAGGCTTCAGCCACCCGAATATCTGGAATTACCAGCATGAGTAACCATGCCCAGCTGTTTTTTGTGTTTTTAGTGGAGACGGGGTTTTGACATGTTGCCCAGGCTGGTCTCGAACTCCTGGCCTCAACTGATTTGCCCACCTTGGTCTCACAAAATGCTGGGATTACTGGCGTGAGCCTCTATGCCTGGCCTACTTGTCACTATCTCTATGTTTATTTGTTCAATAGGAAAATTCTCAGTGAAGACTCCTCAGCATGATGAAGATAAGCTTGCACAATCAGTCATTGATAGATGCTTAGTGGAAAAACTTCCAATTCCCATTTGCAGCTCTCAGAGCTAGGATTAAAAACTCCTGGTCATAACCTCATGTGATGAGAAGTTATAGCATGCCCTCATTTTCTACATATCCACCTGCATTTACAATTAGCTTTCAAACTTGCTAGAAGGGAAAGAAGTGGGAATGTGTCCCCCTTAGAGCTACTTTCCTCCCCTTGCTGGGTTTCCAGTTTGTGCATTGTCCAGATGGCCCAGGAGCTTATGATCAAAGTGAAGAGGTCCTGTTTGTCATGAGAATGCTGCTTTGCTGCATCAGGATTCAGTGAAACTGTTCACCGCCTGGAGCCCATGTGGACTCCAGAGGCAGGATGAAGCTCAGAAACCGTCACTGAGGTTAGGAAGTGAGCACCAAAGTTGAGGGCTGCCCACAGGAGAGGGCCAAAATGCTCCCTTTGGATTTCCAAGTGGTTGCTTCTTGCATCAGTCTTGCTTCTGACCACACTGTGTTCCTGGTCCCGTCTTCCTGGCATTTTGCTGTTTGTGTCCAAGGGAAAGAGTCCTGGATGGCAGTGCTGAGAAGGATGCCTGCCTGCTAAAGCTGATCCCCTGGTGAGCTCTGCAGCCTGTTAAGCAGAGCCTGAAATTCTTTCTCACTGAGTGGTGATTCAGACCACGGAGGGCCCTCCTCTTGTGGATCTGCATTCCGAAAAGATTGTGCCTTTTCCTGAAACTCTGGGACTTGTAGAAGATCATGCAGATGACTGGTGTGGTTGCTCCAGCAGATAGATGGCTCTTTCATGGCTTGTGCCTGTTTCTGCCACAGGTAGACCTATGTGCATGGGCTACTAAGGTGCTCCTGCTCCAGGTTGCCATTGAATCATGGCATCCTGGGACCCGTTGCCTAAGCTCCACCACTTCTGAAGGTGGGATGTGTCCTGTTGACCCAGACTCTAAAATTGTGGCTAAGGATGACCAGGCTGTGGCTGTCCCTTTAAGGCAGAACTTCCAGGCCAGTGTCTTATTTTTCTTGTCATCCTAAAGTTTTCCTTTCGACTGAGGCCAGAAACAAGTCTGTGTATGGGAGAGCCTCCCTCCTAGAGTTGGTACCATTGACATATGACTCCTAAGTGCCAGAAGAGGTTGAGAGAACTCTCCCATCTGCACAGCCAGGGTGCTATGTGCATCGTGACCCTTGGTGCCTGGCTCACACAGCCTGCAGAGGGATCCAAAAAATCACAGGTTGTGGGAGGTGAAGGAAGAGCTGGTACAAATGACAGGTGGCTGCTGACAGAATAGGAGGCAGGAAGAAGATGAGACCTGCCTGGGGTAGTGCACATGTTTTGTTCCAGCCAAACAGTCAGATGAGGTCTTGGTCTTGGACCCGCTGCCAGGGAATTCACAAGCCCGCTTCTGCTGTGGCCTGGGAGCTGAGGTCTTTGGTTCTGAAACCAAATGTAAATTTTGGACTCTGAAATGCCTGTCTGTTTAGCCAGTTTCTCTATAATGGTGATTCCAGGAAAGGAATTCTCTTGGAAAATGTTGAGGGTCCTTCTCAAAGGCTTTAATGAGTACACTGGTGTGTGATTGAGTGATGGATGTCCTTTCCTCCTGCCTTCTTATTTGACTTGCACAATAAATATTAACTATGGCAGTTACGGTCATATCTTTCTTTACAACATAAGAAACTTCAAGTCATTCATTGATGACACCAAAGCCTCATTCTCCTACATTAAACATTCTCCTACATTAAACTTCTTGAATCTTCTGTGCCAACTGTCTAGAAAACCTAAACACATGAAATACTACAAATTAGAAATAAATACCTCAATAGGCACCAATTATAAAAGCAAATCCAAGAAGGAACAGAATATATGAATACACATATAACAAGTAAAGAGATTCAATTAATTAAAAATCTTCACAAAAAGAGAAGCCCAGAGCCACATGGCTTAACTGGTAAATTCTACTAAACATTTAATGAAGAATTAATGCCAACTCTTTACAAGACCTTCCAGAAAATATGGGACAGTTATTGGGAACACTTCCCAATTTGTTCTGTGAGGCCAGTATTACCCTGATACTAAAGGCAGACAAAAGCATCAGAAGTAAATATGTGTATGGATGAATTTCCCTGATGAATACACACAGAGAAATTCTCAAAAAAGCGAAATGAATCAAGAATATATCAAAATGAATGTACACCATGACCAAATGGAATTATTTTACAGATGCAATATTGATCTATCCGATAATCAATCAGTGCCTTACACAAAGTAATAGGATAAAGGAAATTAACAGAAAGAGCCTTTCAACAGACACAGGGAGCATTTGACCAATCCAATATTCATTCACAATCTCCCTGGAAAGGAAGGGTACAAGCAAACTTCCTAAATCTGCTAAAGAGCATCAGTGAAAAACTTACACCTAACGCCATAATAGTAAAATACTGGTTGTTGTGTCTTGACATTTTAGAACAAGGCAAAAATGTTAACATCCAAAGAAATTACATGAGAGAAAAAAACAAAATCATCAATGTGGGAAAATAAGATGTTAGAATTGTCTATCATTGCAGAGGACATAAGTGAATATAAAAGTTTATAAAAAACTCATTAAAACCCACTAAAACCAATACATGAGTTCAGCAAGGTCACAAGATACAAAATCAATATGCAAAGTTCAATTGTACTTTTATGTACTAACAATGATCAACCTGAAAATAAAATTAAAAAAACAATCCATTTGTGTATGTATGAAAAAGAAAGAAATATTTAGGAGTAGATTTAATGAAGTGCAATTTTACCGTAAAAAGAAATCTTTGTTAAAAAATTTTAAAACACTGAAAAAAATAGGCATCAATGTTTATTTAGTTAATGTTATTCCATTATCCAGTGTATCCATTTAAACTCCACACAATAAAACAAAATATATTTTAGCATTATTTTAGTGTAATAAATACAGGTTTGTAGAAAACCCATGAAAGGAACTAATTCTACATGTCCAGAATAGCCCATCCTAATTTTTCTATTTTACATCTACTGTAAATCAAACCGATTTTGTTCCATATTTTATAGCGGAACGTAAGATAAAATCCAAATTGTTAAATATGTGAGATTGATTATAAGCCCACCAAGGAGGTTTTTACTCAGTGTGGGAATTCAGAGAGCATGAAGTTGCAAAGACAGAAGCAAATGTTTTTGAATGAATTATGAGGGACAATACTCACAGGAGTGCTTCACACTTTTATCAACTGACTCATGTCATCTCACTTTAGGAGAAACTGCCTCTAATTTTAGATATTGGTTCGTAGCAAATGCTAAATGAACCAGCACCAAGTTTATATCCAGGAGAACTGCTTACTCTAGAGGATTTTGTCTCTTGGATAATGACATGATTCTGTCTTTCATAGGCTACTCCAAAACTTCTATAATGATGGTAGAGTTTAGTGAAGTGGAGCATCGGCATGCCATCCCCATGCTCCTGACAAGCAGCAGCAGCTAACCTAAGCACAGTCACATAGGGCATGCCATTGACACCCACCTTGCTGTTGTTCACCTCCACATACTAAGTTGCCATACACTTTGCAGTGGAATTTCACCTTACTGCATCTGGTTGGTCAGCAGTCCTGCAGGTAGAAAGAGTTGGTCAGGAGGGCACATTGAGAGAATAGATGGGAGCTCAGAGGCTGCCTAGCTCCCTGCACCCTGCCCACAGGCCACAGTCCTCACCCAGCTGTCCAGCATGCATGACTGCTGAAGGCTGCTGCACTTGTTCTTCATCACAGAGGTGGGATGAAAGCAGTCTGAGGGCACCACACTCCATGATCAGGGTCTACTTCTGGTGCCATAGCTCCAGGTGGAAGGACAGGTAAGCAAAAGACAGGTCCCACCTTCCACATCCAGCCCACACTCCCACCAACTTCCAGGCCCACCTCAATATCCTGATGTGATGCTCTCCTTAGACCTCTTGTGGTTCTTCAGCCAGGAGATGGAGAGAGTGGGGTTGCTAGGAGCCAGGCAGTGAAAGTTGGTTGTGGTGGCCAGCATGGCTGGCAGTTTCCTGTCCATCCACTGGGGCAAAGTCCAGGAAGGGGTCTCTGCTGGTGGAAGCACACATGAAGGCCATAGCTGAGGCGAGGAACAGAGACCCATCTGACCAGACCCCCGATTCAAGATCACCCTGCCCACTCCGAGTCTCATGTTTTTCTCCTGTGTAGGGAGAGTGTTGACATGTCAAGGACATCTACTTGGGCTGAATGAGGCTCCCAGGAGCTTCAACACAATGTCCCCACCCAGTCATGCTCAGAGCTGGCAATGTGTGCCTTTCTATTCCCTCTGCTTCCCCCAAGTGGCTGCTCCTGCTGAGAGGCTGGGGTTCTTCATCCTGGCCTGAAAGCCTCAAAGAATAATGGAGTCTCGAGGGGATACCCCACCTGCACAGGGAGGCACATGGGGAGGGCCCACCAGGAAGGAGGCCCAGCAGGTAGCCCAGCTAAGTGAGTGAGTCAGGACAGGCATTGGGAGCAGTTTACCAGGAGAAGAAACCCAGCCCCTTGCAGAGCTGGGAGCCTCAGAAGCAGCTGAGAAGCCTTGGTCCACAAGCCTCTGAGCCCATAAGCCACCCCCTGCAGAGCTTCAGGGCCCGGTGGGCACTGGTGAGGATGGCGGCCTGGAGGCTTCGTCTCTTTTTTATCCTGACTTCCAGGGCTGTCACCATTCCCCCTCTCACACCTCAGCTAGTTTTTCTAATTTCTGGGTGCTGGGGTGGGGCTGCCTTCCTGCCTGGACTTGTGGGTAGGCTCAACTGCCTTACCCCCAGGAGAGAGGCACCAGGGGCCCAGGAAAGAGAAAGGAGGCAGCCGCTTCCCCACAGTGACCTCCTTGCCATTCACATGCAGCGGCAGGCCCACCTTTCGGTGGAGGATGCTGAAGCACAGCCGGGAGCTGTGTAGAGAGACGCTGGGAAGAGGCACCAATCACAACTCTGAGCTGTCCTCTGGGATTCCAGGGGTGGGAGATGGGGACCCACTGGTGATTAAGACAGCTCAGCAAACTGTGGCACAGGATGTTCCCAGGACTGGGAGACAACAGTGACTCAATGCTGCTCACTTCTAGACTGTGCCTTCTTAAAGTGGCTCTTCAGTTACCCCCAGAGCTTGAGCCCACACCATCCTGGGATGGCTGGGTAGGCAGAGGTGAGCAGGGGCTCAGGGGGAGTGCACAAGGGTGTGTGGGCAGGGGCAGAGGCTGCTGAGGCAGGTGAGGGGAAATTTTCATCCTTTCCTGTCTGCTCCTCCCGGGGTCTACTTTCCTCTCTTCCCTCTGCCTCTGGCTCCCTGGCTGGCTCCTCCTCACTTTCTTTCCTGCTCACTCCAGAGGTCTCAGGGGCTCAGCCCACCACCAGTGGTCCCCAAGTTGCAGCTGCCTCTCCCATGCCTATCCCATGAGGACCCTCATCTGCCTGAGCACATCTCTGGGCTCCTCTGAAACCAGAAGCCCCATCTTCCTGACAGACCCCTCCACAACTGGGCAGAGTTCACCTGCCACTGTTCCAGGCCAGAATGACGGAATTGTTCCGCTGCTGCTGTTTCACACCCACAGCCAATCCCCCACAAATGCTGTTGGCATCACTTTTACAACCCTCATGGCCACCCTGCCCTCCTGCTGGGCTGTAGCTTTTGTCCCCTCCATCCATCTGCCCCTTGGCAGCCACCTGAGCCCCCAAGCACTGCTGTGCTCACACCTACAGTAGCCACCTCACCCAGAGCCAACATCAAAGTCCCCACAGGCCAATCCTGGCCTCCTCACTGCTCCTGGAACCCCAGGACCCTGTGCCCCAGTCTCCCCATCTGCAGCATGTGTGTCTCCTCTGACCCCCAGCCTGCCCCACAGAGCCCAAGACATCCAGAGCCATCTAATAGATATGTAATACATATCAATTACATAATAATTCATGATACATCATATTATATACAAAGTACGATGTCATAATGTACTGTGATGCCATAATACATATGAAGTATAATGTCATAATATATTGTGATGTCATAACACATACTGATGATGGTGTCACAATATACTGTGACGTGATAATGTCTATGAATTTTGATGTCATAATACATGTGCATTATGATGTCATGATATATTGTGATGTTGTAGTATAAATTATGATGCCATAATATATTATGATGTCATGTTGTGTGTGCATTATGATGTCATAATATATTGTGATGTCATAATACATATGAATTATGATATCATAATATGTTGTAATGTCATAATATATTTATTTATCACATTAATGGTATAATAACATAAACTTTGTCAGGTAATTTTACAAGAAAATTCAGTGAAATTTTGTAACAATATTAACATCTAAAGTAGCTTATAATCATGATGAAAAATGAAAGAGCTGCAGGAATCTCACATGGTAGGAGTTGAAACAGGAAAGATCAGGGAGGGGTATGCTTCACTTTTAAACCACCACATCTCGTGAGTACTCACTATGACAAGGACAGCACAGAGCCATGAGAAATCTATCCCCATGATTCAACCATCTACCACCATGCCCCACCTGTAACATTAGGGATTAAAATTCAATATGAGATTTGGAGGAGACATCTAAACTATATTATATGACCATTAGTGTGGGCGAAAGGTCACCAAGGTGCCAAGGCAAGAGACTGAAACAAACTGTTTCAGTATAATAAAGAAAATTGTTAGAATAGAATAGTCATAATACAAATTAGATATAGAGATGATCATGGGCAAGCCTGCCAGCCAACCAAGCCAGCCAAGCCAGCAAAGCCACCCAGCCAAAGCCAGCCAGCCAGCCATGCCAGCCAGCCAGCAAGGCCAGCCAAGCCACCCAGCCAGCAAGGCCAGCCAAGCCCGCCAAGCCACCCAGCCAGCCAAGGCAGCCAAGCCTCCCAGCCAAAGCCAGCCAGCCTAGCCAGCCAGCGAGCCAAGCCAGCCAAGCCAGCCAAGCCACCCAGCCAGCCAAGCCAGTGAAGCCAGCCAGCCAACCTAGCCAGCCAAGCCATCCAGCCAGCCAAGCCAGCCAAGCCAGCCAGCCAGCCAAGCCACACAGTCAGCCAGCCAGCCAAGCCAGCCAAGCCAGCACAGCCGGCCAAGCCAGCCAAGCCATCCAAGCCAGCCAAGCCACCCAGCCAGCCAAGCCAGCCAAGCCACCCAGCCAAAGCCAGCCATCCAGCCAAGCCAGCCAACCAGCCAAGCCAGCCAATCCAGCCAGGCAGCCAGCCAAGCCAGCCAAGCCAGCCAAGCCACCCAGTCAAGCCACCCAGCCAAAGCCAGCCAGCCAGCCAAGCCAGCCAAGTGACCCAGCCAACCAAGCCACCCAGCCAAGCCAGCCAGCCAGCCAAGCCAGCCAAGCCAGCCAAGCCACATAGCCAGCCAAGCCAGCCAAGCCACATAGCCAGCCAAGCCAGCCAAGCCAGCCATCCAGCCAAGCCTGCCAATCCAGCCAGACAGCCAGCCAAGCCAGCCAAGCCAGCCAGCCAGCCAGCCAAGCCAGCCAAGCCAGCCATCCAGCCAAGCCTGCCAATCCAGCCAGACAGCCAGCCAAGCCAGCCAAGCCAGCCAGCCAGCCAGCCAAGCCAGCAAAGCCAGCCAAGCCAGCCAAGCCATCCATCCAGCCAAGCCAGCCAAGCCACCCAGCCGGCCAAGCCATCCAAGCCAGCCAACCAACCCAGCCAGGCAAGCCAGCCAAGCCACCCAGTCAAAGCCAGCCAGCCAGCCAAGCCAGCCAAGCCAGCCAGCCAGCCAAGCCAGCCAAGCGGCCCAGCCAGCCAAGCCAGCCAGCCAGCCAGCCAAGCCAGCCAAGCCATCCATCCAGCCAAGCCAGCAAAGACAGCCAAGCTACCCAGCCGGCCAAGCCATCTAAGCCAGCCAACCAACCCAGCCAGGCAAGCCAGCCAAGCCACCCAGTCAAAGCCAGCCAGCCAGCCAGCCGGCCAAGCCACCCAAGCCAGCCAGCCAGCCAGACAAGCCAGCCAGCCAGCCAAGCCAGCCAAGACAGCCAAGCCACAGAGCCAGCCAAGCCAGCCAGCCAGGCAGCCAAGCCAGCCAGCCAAGCCAGCCAAGCCACCCAGCCAGCCAAGCCAGCCAAGCCACCCAGCCAAAGCCAGCCATCCAGCCAAGCCAGCCAACCAGCCAAGCCAGCCAATCCAGCCAGGCAGCCAGCCAAGCCAGCCAAGCCAGCCAAGCCACCCAGCCAAGCCACCCAGCCAAAGCCAGCCAGCCAGCCAAGCCAGCCAAGTGACCCAGCCAACCAAGCCACCCAGCCAAGCCAGCCAGCCAGCCAAGCCAGCCAAGCCAGCCAAGCCACATAGCCAGCCAAGCCAGCCAAGCCACATAGCCAGCCAAGCCAGCCAAGCCAGCCATCCAGCCAAGCCTGTCAATCCAGCCAGACAGCCAGCCAAGCCAGGCAAGCCAGCCAGCCAGCCAGCCAAGCCAGCCAAGCCAGCCAAGCCATCCATCCAGCCAAGCCAGCCAAGCCACCCAGCCGGCCAAGCCATCCAAGCCAGCCAACCAACCCAGCCAGGCAAGCCAGCCAAGCCACCCAGTCAAAGCCAGCCAGCCAGCCAAGCCAGCCAAGCCAGCCAGCCAGCCAAGCCAGCCAAGCGGCCCAGCCAGCCAAGCCACCCAGCCAAGCCAGCCAGCCAGCCAAGCCACCCAAGCCAGCCAGCCAGCCAGACAAGCCAGCCAGCCAGCCAAGCCAGCCAAGACAGCCAAGCCACACAGCCAGCCAAGCCGGCCAGCCAGGCAGCCAAGACAGCCATCCAAGCCAGCCAAGCCAGCACAGCCGGCCAAGCCAGCCAAGCCATCCAAGCCAGCCAAGCCACCCAGCCAGCCAAGCCAGCCAAGCCAGCCAGCCAAAGCCGGCCAGCCAGCCAAGCCAGCCAAGTGACCCAGCCAGCCAAGCCACCCAGCCAAGCCAGCCAGCCAGCCAAGCCAGCCAAGCCAGCCAAGCCAGCCAAGCCACAGAGCCAGCCAAGCCAGCCAAGCCACATAGCCAGCCAAGCCAGCCAAGCCAGCCATCCAGCCAAGCCTGCCAATCCAGCCAGACAGCCAGCCAAGCCAGCCAAGCCAGCCAGCCAGCCAGCCAAGCCAGCCAAGCCATCCATCCAGCCAAGCCAGCAAAGACAGCCAAGCTACCCAGCCGGCCAAGCCATCCAAGCCAGCCAACCAACCCAGCCAGGCAAGCCAGCCAAGCCACCCAGTCAAAGCCAGCCAGCCAGCCAGCGAGCCAAGCCACCCAAGCCAGCCAGCCAGCCAGACAAGCCAGCCAGCCAGCCAAGCCAGCCAAGACAGCCAAGCCACAGAGCCAGCCAAGCCAGCCAGCCAGGCAGCCAAGCCAGCCAGCCAAGCCAGCCAAGCCACCCAGCCAGCCAAGCCAGCCAAGCCACATAGCCAGCCAAGCCAGCCAAGCCACATAGCCAGCCAAGCCAGCCAAGCCAGCCATCCAGCCAAGCCTGCCAATCCAGCCAGACAGCCAGCCAAGCCAGCCAAGCCAGCCAGCCAGCCAGCCAAGCCAGCAAAGCCAGCCAAGCCAGCCAAGCCATCCATCCAGCCAAGCCAGCCAAGCCACCCAGCCGGCCAAGCCATCCAAGCCAGCCAACCAACCCAGCCAGGCAAGCCAGCCAAGCCACCCAGTCAAAGCCAGCCAGCCAGCCAAGCCAGCCAAGCCAGCCAGCCAGCCAAGCCAGCCAAGCGGCCCAGCCAGCCAAGCCACCCAGCCAAGCCAGCCAGCCAGGCAAGCCACCCAAGCCAGCCAGCCAGCCAGACAAGCCAGCCGGCCAGCCAAGCCAGCCAAGACAGCCAAGCCACACAGCCAGCCAAGCCGGCCAGCCAGGCAGCCAAGACAGCCATCCAAGCCAGCCAAGCCACCCAGCCAGCCAAGCCAACCAAGCCAGCCAAGCCACCCAGCCAGCCAAGCCAGTGAAGCCAGCCAGCCAGCCAAGCCAGCCAAGCCATCCAGCCAGCCAAGCCAGCCAAGCCAGCCAGCCAGCCAAGCCACCCAGTCAGCCAGCCAGCCAAGCCAGCCAAGCCAGCACAGCCGGCCAAGCCAGCCAAGCCATCCAAGCCAGCCAAGCCACCCAGCCAGCCAAGCCAGCCAAGCCAGCCAGCCAGCCAGCCAAGCCAGCCAAGCCATCCATCCAGCCAAGCCAGCCAAGCCAGCCAGCCGGCCAAGCCATCCAAGCCAGCCAACCAACCCAGCCAGGCAAGCCAGCCAAGCCACCCAGTCAAAGCCAGCCAGCCAGCCAAGCCAGCCAAGCCAGCCAGCCAGCCAGCCAGCCAAGCCACCCAAGCCAGCCAGCCAGCCAGACAAGCCAGCCAGCCAGCCAAGCCAGCCAAGACAGCCAAGCCACACAGCCAGCCAAGCCAGCCAGCCAGGCAGCCAAGCCAGCCAGCCAAGCCAGCCAAGCCACCCAGCCAGCCAAGCCAGCCAAGCCACCCAGCCACAGCCAGCCATCCAGCCAAGCCAGCCAACCAGCCAAGCCAGCCAAGCCAGCCAGGCAGCCAGCCAAGCCAGCCAGCCAGCCAAGCCAGCCAAGCCACACAGCCAACCAAGCCAGCCAAGCCAGCCAGCCAGCCAGCCAGCCAAGCCAGCCAAGCCACACAGCCAACCAAGCCAGCCAAGCCAGCCAGCCAGCCAAGCCTGCCAGCCAACCAAGCCAGCCAAGCCACCCAGCCAAAGCCAGCCAGCCAGCCAAGCCAGCCAAGCCACACAGCCAACCAAGCCAGCCAAGCCAGCCAGCCAGCCAAGCCTGCCAGCCAACCAAGCCAGCCAAGCCAGCCAAGCCACCCAGCCAAAACCAGCCAGCCAGCCATGCCAGCCAGCCAGCCAGGCCATAATTTCATCATTCCACTTCATCATTCCACTTCATCATTTCATTTCATTTCATTTCATCATTTCATTTCATTTCATCCTTTCATTTCATCTCATCATTTCATCCTTTCATTTCATCATTTCATCTCATCATTTCATCTCATCATTTCACTTCATCTCATCATTTCATCATTTTATCTCATGATTTCATTTCATCTCATGATTTCATTTCATCTCATCATTTCATCTTTTCATCTCATCATTTCATTTAATCATTTTATTTCATTTTATCTTTTCATCTCATCATTTCATCATTTCATTTCATCGATTCATCATTTCATCATTTCATTTCATTATTTCATCATTTCATCATTTCACTTCATCTCATCATTTCATCATTTTATATCATTTCATTTCATCATTTCATCTTTTCATCATTTCATTTCATTTCATGATTTCACTTCATTTCTTCATTTCATTTCCTCATTTCATTGCACCATTTCATCACTTCATCATTTCATCATTTCATTTCATCATTCCATTTCATCATTTCATCATTTCATTTCATCTCATCATTTCATCATTTCATTTCCTCATTTCACCATTACATTTCATCTCATCATTTTATTTTATCATTTCATTTCATCATTTCATTTATTCATTTCTTCATTTCGTTTCATCATTTCATCATTTCCTTTCATTTCATCATTTCATCTCATCATTTCATCTCATCATTTCATCTCATCATTTCATCTCATCATTTCATCTCATTTCATTTCATTCATTTCATCATTTCATCTCATGATTTCATTTCATCTCATCATTTCACTTCATCTCATCATTACACCATTTCATCTCATGATTTCATCTAGTCATTTCATTTCATCTCATCATTTCATTTCATCTTTTCATCTCTTCATTTCATTTCACCGTTTCATCTTTTCATCTCGTCATTTCACTTCATTTCATCATTTCATCAATTCATCATTTCATCATTTCATTTCATTATTTCATCATTTCATCATTTCACTTCATTTCATCATTTCATATAATTTCATCATTTCATTTTATCATTTCTTTTAATTTCATTTCATCATTTCACTTTATTTCATCATTTCATATCATTTCATTTCATCATTTCATCTTTTCATGTCATTTCATCATTTCATCATTTCATTTCATTCATTTCATCATTGCATTTCATCATTTCATCATTTCATCTCATGATTTCATTTCATCTCATCATTTCACTTCATCTCATCATTTCATCTCATGATTTCATCTCATCATTTCATTACATCCCATCATTTCATGTTTTCATCTCGTCATTTCATCATTTCATTTCATTTTGTCTTTTCATCTCGTCATTTCATTTCATCATCATTTCAGTTCATTTATTTCATCATTTCATTTCATCATTTAATTTCATCATTTCACTTCATTTCATCATTTCATTTCATTTCATATCATTTCATCATTTCCTCTTTTAATTTCATTTCATAATTTCATCATTCCACTTCATCATTTCGTTTCATCATTTCATTTCCTCATTTCATCATTTCATTTCATCCTTTCATTTCATCTCATCATTTCATCCTTTCATTTCATTCTTTCATTTCATTATTTCATCTCATCATTTCATCTCATCATTTCATCATTTCACTTCATCTCATCATTTCATCATTTTATCTCATGATTTCATCTCATCATTTCATTTCATATCATTTCATTTCATCTTTTCATCTCGTCATTTCACTTAATCATTTTATTTCATTTTATCTTTTCATCTCATCATTTCATTTCATCATTTCATCATTTCATTTCACTTCATTTCATTTCATCATTTCGTATCATTTCTTCATTTCATCTTTTCATTTCATTTCATCATTTCATCATTTCATTTCATTTCATCATTTCACTTCATCATTTCATTTCTTCATTTCATTTCCTCATTTCATTGCACCATTTCATCACTTCATCATTTCATCATTTCATCATTCCATTTCATCATTTCATCATTTCATTTCATTTCATCTCATCATTTCATTTCATTTCCTCATTTCACCATTACATTTCATCTCATTTCATCATTTTATCATTTCCTTTCATCATTTCATTTCTTCATTTCATTTTGTTTCATCATTTCATCATTTCCTTTCATTTCATCATTTCATCTCATCATTTCATCTCATCATTTCATCTCATTTCATTTCATTCATTTCATCATTTCATCATTTCATCTCATGATTTCATTTCATCTCATCATTTCACTTCATCTCATCATTACACCATTTCATCTCATGATTTCATCTAGTCATTTCATTTCATCTCATCATTTCATCTTTTCATCTCGTCATTTCATTTCATCATTTCATTTCATCTTTTCATCTCGTCATTTCATTTCATTTCATTTTATCAATTCATCAATTTATCATTTCATTTCATTTCATTATTTCATCATTTCATCATTTCATCATTTCACTTCATCATTTCATTATTTCATATAATTTCATCATTTCATTTTATCATTTCTTTTAATTTCATTTCATCATTTCATCATTTCACTTTATTTCATCATTTCATATCATTTCATCATTTCATTTCATCATTTCATCTTTTCATTTAGTTTCATTATTTCATCATTTCACTTCATCATTTCATTTCATTTCCTCATTTCATCATTTCATTTCATTTCCTTTCATCATTTCATCTCATCATTTCATCCTTTCATTATTTCATTTCATCATTTCATGTCATCATTTCACTTCATCATTTCATCATTTCATTTCATCATTTCACTTCATCTCCTCACTTCATCATTTCATCTCATCATTTCATCTCATCATTTCGTTTCATCTTTCCATCTCATCATTTCATTTAATCATTTCATTTCATCTTTTCATCTCATCATTTCATTTCATTTCATCATTTCATTTCATCAATTCATCATTTCATTTCATTTTATTATTTCATCATTTCATCATTTCACTTCATTTCCTCATTTCATTTCATCATTTCATATTTCTTCATCATTTCATCTTTTCATTTCATTTCATCATTTTATCATTTCATTTCATTTCATCATTTCACTTCGTCATTTCATTTCATTTCCTCATCTCATTTCACCATTTCATCATTTCATCATTCCATTTCATCATTTCATCATTTCATTTCATCATTTCATCATTTCATCATTTCATTTCATCATTTCATCATTTAATTTCATCATTTCACCATTTCACTTCATCTCATCATTTCATCATTTTATCATTTCATTTCATCAGTTCATTCCTTCATTTCATCATTTCCTTTCATTTCATTATTTCATTTCACCATTTCATCATTTCATTTCATTTCAGTGATACATATATTTAAGTGCTAATGTGATGCCCAGGAGACATCCTACTTCCCTTTGTAAAATACCTCCTTCAACAAAAGGCAACCTCTCATGGCTGGCTAAGTCTACAGGGATACCAGGCTCTCCTCAACCACCCAATTTGATTTAGAACCTCAAACAGCACCTCAGTTTCATGAAAACCTAACACATAAACACAACACTTGGTTGTAAGTGAGCCAACAGCTTCTTGTCTCTTTCTCTGCTCAAGGCTTAAGGCCGTGTCTCCCCAACTACGTTCAGTGGAAGAAAAGATCCCCTGGACAAATAAGTTTGAGGACTGTCATTGCAGGACTTCTCAGAACCTTTAAAACACAAATCCTCATCCGCAGGGATCTTCAGGAGGGAGACGGCTGATGCAGCACAACTTTCTTTCACAGGAGCATCTTGCAGAATACAGTATGAGATACAGAAAGGCTGCACTGAGTCTTTTTAAGGGTCTGGGCCTTGGTGGGGGTGGGGTAGGAGCTCTCCAGATAGCATCTAATGAGTAGGAACATTCAGGTTGCTTTTTTTTTCCCTTATTGGCAAAACTGTGTGTGCACCATGAATGAAGCTGGTCTCCCTTATCCACATCAAAACTAAACCCAAATTAATTGGCTAAATTGGGACTCAACACCACCAGGAGCCACGTGGAAGACAGCCCTACCACACTTTAAAGTAGCTTACCTCATCATGTTTGAGGAAAGCAAAACGCTTATGACCAGTATGCTGCTAATACAAGTCTACAGATAATGCTGTAGGAAAAATTATTTTTCCCAATCATAGCTGGCATAGTCCACATTTTGCATTACAATTTCCCCTTTTTTAAAATTTAAACACAGGTCTTTTTCTCTTCTTTTTAAACATTTTAATTTAATTTTACAAGACGGAGTCTCAGTATGTTGCCCAGGCTGGTCTTCAACTCCTGAGCTCAAGTGATACATCCCTCTCTGCCTCCCAAAGTGCTGGGATTACAGGCCTGAGACACTGTGCCCGGCCTTCAACATAAAGTTTAATTCATTCTTACAATTATCCTGAAGTTAGAAAAATGGAAGGGGAAGAAAAATGGCAAGCAGGTAGGCTGACTTCGACTTCATTATTTGGAAGGACAGTTTGCTCGGTTAAAACACTCTACTGCCCAAAAGGCCAAGACAACAGAAAAATACAGACTTACATAAATAGATTTTATATGTGACAGCAGTTTGAATGGAGACTTTTTCAATGCAAATGACAAACAGCTGTGCTTGGGAATAAATGACAAAGAATTTTTTATCTCAACAGCTGTCCTGAGAGCACGTCTCTACATCTATACCTGCATTCTGGAATCAGGGAGAAAGCCAAAACGGATGACAAGACACTAGGTCAGCCGCGTCCAACCCTTTGACTACAAGGACTTTTCCACCTATCTGTGGTGGTGGGTATCATGAAAATTATGCACAAACCTTTTTTTTTTTTAAGCTCATCAGCTATCGTTAGCATTAGTGTATTTTATATGTGGCCCAGGAGCATTCTTCTTCCAATGTGACCCTGAGAAGCCAAAAGACACCTGTGCACTAGATCAAAAGGCTACTCCTTCTGGAAGCAATTGTAAAGAATTTCTGACATTATCTTCACATGACAACCAATGGGTAGTGGGACAGAATGCAAAAATCTTCAAGTATTTTTCTTGTTGGTTTTTTTTTTTTTTTTTTTGAGTCAGGGTCTTGCTCTGTGGCCCAGGCTGGAGTACACTGCTGAGATCACAGCTCAGTGCAGGCTCAAGTGCTCCTCCCACCTCAGCCACAGTAGTAGCTGGGACTACAGATGTGCACAACCACCACTGGCTAATATTTTATTTTTTGTAGAGACAGGGTCTCACTATATTGTCCAGGTTAGTCTCAAACTCCTTGACTCAAGGGATCCAGGACAGGATAACAGGTGTGAGCCACCACATCTGGCCATGTGCATGAACTTTTAAGACAAACACAAGGCCCCACAAAAGTTAAAGTTTTCCCACCTAATTTCCAGGGGATCTTTTGGTGCAAGGATGAGAAGCCCTTAAAAGTACCCAGACAACTCCAAAGATTCAAGACAGTTCATTGGGGCTGAGCCAGCCCACTGGGCAGACTGACCTTCAAAAAAGGCCCACCCATGATATACACCAGATGGCTCTCCAAGAATCTCTCCAGTCCTCAGGGTCCCTAAGGTACTGGACAGAGCTAGGAAAGCAAACCCATGTGCTTCTTCCTTCAGGCAACCCCTTGAGGTCAAGACCCCACAATCAGATGAGGATGGAGTGGCTCACCCTCAGTCAACAGGCCAGACTCAAGGTGGTATTATGTCTTAACCAAGGGTGTGGGCCTCCAGGTCTCACTCCCAACTCAGTGCTCCTTTAATAACCACACTTTGTTAATTCTCCTTAACAGGGGTTCCAGGCAAGTCAGTTCTCCCTCAGGCCTTCGGTTTCCTCACCCACAAGATGAGAGGGCTGGACCAGATGGAAATTCAGGGGGTAAGGGGATGTCCGCTCGCAGCCCACCTCGCCCATGGGCCCCTCAAGCCTCCCTGCCAGTTCCCACGACGCACCCGCCCCACAGATCCTGCCCAAGGTGAGGGCTGGTCCCGGGTCCTCCGGCTGCCGCATCAGCGAGTGCAGGAGGGAGGGGAAGCCTCCAACGGGGCGACTCGGGCTCAAGGATGCAACTCGGCCAGGAGTGAACTCGGGCACGGAGGGAGGTGTCTGGGCCGCTCCTCGAGCCCAGCCTGGGTCCACGACCCCCTTACCTCCAGGGTCCGTATCTCCTGCTGGGTGAGGTCCTTGGACACAGCGCACTTGTTGCGCAACCGGCTCAGGCTGCCAATGGAGATGCGGATAAGCTTCTGGAGCTGCCCACAAGCTTCTGGAGCTGCCCACACTGCTGCAGCGTCTGGCTGGCTGCGGCCCCTGCGCCTCCCAAAGAGGCCGCCGCATCACCCCCGCCACCGCCCTCCTTCTTCTCTCCCCTGGCCGCTACGCGCAGCGCCGCTCTATGCAGGCCGCAGCGGCCAAGGCGGGGAGCTCGGGGCGCGGGCGCCTAGGCAAGGAACCCCCGAGCCGGGAGAGCTGGACCAGGAGCGCCCCTCGGCTCCGCCCGAACAAGGACGCCGGTAGAGCCGGCAGCCGAGTGTGCCGCTCCCGCCCTCAGAGCCGCGTCGGTGGTGGCAAAAAGCGGCGGCGGTGGGGGCAAAAAGCTGGGGCGGCGGGGACAAAAAGCCTCGGTGGCGGGGGTAAAAAGCCACGGCGGCAAAAACCGGCGGCGGCGGGGGCAAAATGCCGCAGGGGCAAAAAGCCGCAAAAAGCCGCGGCGGCGGGGGCAAGAAGCCGCGGTGGCGGGAGCAAAAAACTGCGGCGGCAAAAAGGGGCGGCGGCGGGGGCAAAAAGCCGCAAAAAGCCTCGGCGTAGGGGGCAAAAAGCCGTGGCGTCGGGGGCAAGAATCCGCGGCGGCGGGGGCAAAAAAAATATATATATAATTATATTATAAATATATATATTTCTATATAAAATATTATAAATATATATTATATTTATATATAATTATATATATTTATAATATAAAATATATTTATATATTATATATATTAATTATATATATATTATAAATATATGTAATAAATCTTGATTCTAAGAATGTTTTCATTATTATCACTAAAACTTATGATAAATGTTTTATTCATTCGTTTGTGACTATATTGCATGATAAAAATTTAAAGATTTATTATGTTTGAATCAAACCCCACGATTTGTGTCATTTCCCCCTGTAATGTGGAAGTCTGAGTTTTTAGTTCACAAATTTGGCAGAACAATAAACAGAGCGGCACAGCTCAAAGCACTAACTCCTCCGGAAGCAGCAGGTCAAAGTACATGCCAGACATTAAGCAGCAGAGCAACTTAGCAAGAGAAGACAGATCCTCAGGTTGGTGGGCAATGTCTGAACAGTCTGCTCATGGCACCAATTGTTAGTCACTTGCAAAGATGTGGCTTTAAGAGGGTAAGAAATTACTACTCACATAAATTACATTTGTGAGGTAAGTAGGAAGGCCTTTCAAGGTGATCTGACATGGCTTGAATGTGCAAGAAAAGGAGCCAGGCCTGGATTTTTATTGAGGGTAGGTGGCATGCTAGGGTGAGAATTTATTCCCATGGACAGGGGTTTGAATGGTTTCAATCTGCTGCTGGTACCAGAAAAGGGACCACCCAGGTTTCCTCTTACTGTATTATTTTATACACACACACACACACACACACACACACACACACACACACACGGTTTAGGATTAAAAATAGAGACAACCATCAAAAAATGAAGATAGTTCCTTTTGGTCAGCCTGGCAAGTAAGGACGTAGAAGGTGACATTCGCATCAGCGAAAGTAAAAAGGGAAACATAGGCCAGCAATTCTCCTAACATCTATCAGAAAAATAAGTTCACAGGGCAAATCACCATCCCAAATTGGACAGAAGGACACACACATCCAGAGAATTATAACTTACTTGGTTAGTAAACCACAAGAAACCCCTATGGGAACAAATACAGTTGTAAGAAAACAAACCATTATTGATGAATGGCTAAAAGTTTGAGAATTAACATTTTCAGGGTATACAAATTTATGAACTTTACTTTCAGAAACATGACATGGCTTTTACAGGGAAGATGATAGAAAAAATGCTTCTTGATTCCAGTAGGAGGAAGGGAAATGTAGCCATTTTTAACTATTCCCAGAAAATTTTCTTTTTAACATTCCTATCTTCAATATAAACTATGTATCAAAAGCCTAACCAACTGAGATTTTACCAGAGCCAGACTTCCTGGAGTAAGAGAAATGCCCAATTCCATCCCCCTCTAACCTTCTTGATCCAGTTAAGAGAGGTAAAGAGTGAGAAGTCCTCATGAAATTCACAGCCTAGGGATACACTGTTTTGTTTTGATTTGTTTTAATGAGGCTAATGCATAAGTCAATAGAGTGCTTTGCCTAAGCTCTCACATAACCACTACATCAACAGCAGAATAAATACATGGTAGCAGAATACAACTGAAAGAACTGTATGCCTCAGATCTTGTTAAATAAGTCTCTAAGAGACCACAAGGAAATTGAATAATGTTGATAAAGTCGACACATGTATATGTAGAAATACACAATGTACTGACACTGAGTCATGAACAAATAGAAAATCTGAACAGACCTATAGTTGCAGATTGATGCAAAAATCACCCCTCCAGAAAAAAAAGTACAAAACTGTTATGCTGCTGAATCTATCAAACATTTTAAGAATTAATTACCAATTATCCTCAAACTCTTGCAAAAACCTGAAGATGCAGAAACACTTCCAAATTTATTCTATGAGGTAGGCCAAAATTACAGTGACATAAAAAATGAACAAAAGCACTACAAGAAAGAAAGTTGAAGAAAAATGTTCTTTATAAATAATATAAAATCTATAAAATAAATATTAGCAAAATATATTTAGCAGAATAATAAGAGGGTTATCTACCAAGACTAATTGAGAGTTATTACTGAAGTGCAAAGATGCTTTAACATATAAATATCAATAAATGTAGCCAGGCACAGTGGCTTGTGCCTGTAATCCCAGTTACCCAGGATGCTAAGGTGATAGGTTCACTTCAGTCCAGGAGTTCAAGAGCAGTCTAAACAACATCATAATATCCTGTCTCTAAAAATAAATAAATAATAAATAAATAAACAAATAATCATAATATACCGCATTAGTACTGTTAAACACCACAATATCTCAATTTACACAGAAAAAGCATTCTACAAGATATTACTCATTCATGGTACAAACACACAACATAATCAACAGTGAAATACAAAAAATGTTTTCCCTTAATATCAGGAACTAAAAATAGTTCCTCTTTTTTACCACTTCCACTCAACAGAGTATATAAAACTTTAGCTTAAGCAATAACAAAAATAAAATAAAGACAAAAATGCATATGTTAAAAAGAATAAAATAGAAATATCTCTGTTCACAGTAATCATGTATGCACACAATTCTGAAGATTGTACAAACAGAAAAACACCTCAAAACAGTTTAAACAAATTAAGTAATGTTGCAGGATACAAAATTAACTTACAAAACTCAGTTGCATTGATGCACACCAATAATGATTAATCTGAAAAGGAAATTAAGAAAACAATACCATGAACAACAGTATTAAAAAGAATAAAATGCTCTGGAATCAATTTAACCAGGATGACAAACTATTTGTACAATAAAAACTTTCAAAATGCTGCTGTAAGAAATCAAAGGTACAAATAAATGGAACAGTATCTTCTGTTCATAGGTGAAAAGACTTTTTAAAAAATTTCAACTTTTATTTTAGATTCAGGGGTTACAGGCACAGATTTGTTATGTAGGAATATTGTATAATGCTCAGGTTTGGAGCACATAGGTAGTGAGCACAGCAACCAATATGTAGTATATTAACTTGCCCTCCCCTCTGCACACTTTAGTAGTCCACCGTGTTTACTGTTCCCATATTTATGTCCATATATGCTCAATGTTTAGCTCTTATAAGTAAGAACATGCAGTATTTGGCTTTCTGTTTCTGCATTAATTTGCTTGAAATTATGGCCTCTGGTTCCACCTATGTTCATACCAAGGACATGATTTCATTATATTTCACAGCTGTGTAGTATTCCATGGTGTATACATACCAGGTTTTCTTTATCCAATATACCATTGATGGGCATCTGGATTGATCCCACATCTTTGCTATTGTGAATAGCACAGTGATGCATTCAAGTGCATATGTCTTTTTGGTAGAATGATTTATTTTCTTTTGGGTATATACCCAGTTGTAGGATTGCTGGGTAAATTGGTAGTTCTGTTTTAAGTTCTTTCAGAAATCTCGAGACTGCTCTCCACGATTGCTGAACTAATTTACAATCCTGCCAGTGACGTAAAGTGTTTCCTTTTCTGCACAGCCTTGCCAACATGTTATTTATTGACTTTTTAGTAATAGCCATTCTGACTAACATGAGATGGTACCTCATTGTGGTTCTGATTTGCATTTATCTGATAATTACTGATGCTGAGCAATTTTTCATGTTTGTTGGCCACTTGTATATCTTCTGTTCAGGCATATCTGTTCATCTCATTTGCCCATTTTTTATTTTTTAATGGTTTTTTTTTTTTGGCTTGTTGATTTGAGTTCCCTATGGAGTCTGGATATTAGGCTTTTGTTAGACTCATAGTTTGTGAATATCTCCTCCCATTCTGGAGGATGCCTCTTTCCCCTGTTGATAGTTTATTTTGCTGTGCAGAAGCTATTTAGTCAAATTAAGTCCTACTTGTCTATTTTTGTTTTGGTTGCAATTGCTTTTGGGGACTTAGCCAAAAACGACTTGCCAAGGCTGATGTCAAAAAAATATTTCCTAGGTTATCTTCCAGAATTTTTATAGTTTGAGGTCTTACACTTAAATTTTTAATCCATTTAAATTTAATTTTGGGGCATGTTGCAAGGTAAAGGTCTAGGTTCAATCTTCTGCCTATGGCAAGCCAGTTATCCCAGAATGTATTGACTAGGGAGTCCTTTCCCCATTGCTTGTTCTTGCCAGCCTTGTCAAATATCATATGGTTGTAGGTGTGTGACTTTCAGCAGTGTTTTGTAGTTCTCCTTGAAGAGATCTTTCATTTCCTTGGTTATCTGTATTCCTAGGTATTTCTCTTTTTTGTGGCTATTTTAAGTGGAATTGTGTTCTTGATTTCACTCTTGGCCTGGACATTGTTGGTGTATGGAAATGCTACTTATTTCACCATAATCAGTACTGTTTACACTGATTTTGTATCCTGAGACTATACTAAAGTTATTAATTCTAGGAGCCTTCTGGCAGAATCTCTAGGATTTTCTAGGCATAGGATCATATTTTCAGCGAAGAGAGATAGTTTGACTTCTTTTCCTGTTTCGTTACTTTTTCTTTCTCTTGCCTGATTGCTCTGCATAGGACTTCCAGTACTAAGCTGAATAGGAGTGCTGTGAGTGAGCATCCTTGTCTTGTTTCAGTTCTCATAGAAATAGTTTTAAGTTTTTAACCTATTGAGTATGATGTTGACTGTGGGTTTCCCATAGATGACTCTTATTATTTTAAGGTATGTTCCTTGGATGCCTAGTCTATTGAGGATTTTTACCATGAAGTAGTGTTGGATTTTATTAAGAAGACCTTTGTGTATCTGTTTAGAAAATCATATGGTTTTTACTTTTGATTCTATTTAGCTGGTGAATCACATTTATTGGTTTGCATATGTTGAACCAGCTTGCATCCCAGGAATAAAGCCTACTTGACCATGGTGTATTACCTTTCTGATGTGGTGCTGAATTTGGTTTGCTAGTATTTTGTTGAGGATTTTTACATTTTCTGTTCATGAGGGATCTTGGTCTGAAGTTTTGTTTTTTCACAGTGTCTCTGCCAGATTTTCATATCATGCTACTGCTGGTTTCAAAGAATGAGTTAGGAAGGAGCCCCACCGCCTCGATATTTTGAAATAATTTTAGTAGGATTGATATCATTTCTTCTTAGTATGTCTGGTAAAACTCAGCAGCCAATCTACCTGTTTCAGGCCTTTTTGTTGTTGTTGTTGTTGTTGGTAGGTTCTTTAGTACTGACTCAATGTCAGAAGTTGATATTAGTCTACTTAGAGTTTTGATCTCTTTCTGATTCCATCTTGGGAGACTGTGTGCTTCCTGGAATTTATTCATTTTCTCCAGATTTTCTAATTTGCGTGCAGAGCTGTTCATAGTACTCGCTGAGGATCTTTTGTATCTCTATCTGATCCATTTTAATATAACCTGTCATTTTTATTGCGCTTATTTGGATCTTCTCTTTCTTTTTTATATTTGTTAATTTGGCTAGGAGCTTATCAATTTTTTTTGAAGAACCAATTTTTTGTTTTCTTGGACTGTTGTATACATTTTTGCATCTCAACTTCATTAAATTCTTCTCTAATTGCTGTTATGTCTTCTCTCATGCTAGCTTTGGGGTTGGTTGGTTCTTTTTTTCAAGTTCCTTTAGGTGCAAAGTTACATCGTTAATTTGAGACATTTCTAACTTCTTGATAAAGGCATTTAGGGCTATAAAGTTTCCTCTTAACACTGCTTTGGCTGCATCTTAGAAATTTTGGTAAGTTGTGTTCCTATTTCTATCAATTTCAAGTAATTTTTATATTTCTGCCTTACTTTGATGTTTACAAAGGATTTATTCAGGAGTAAGTTGTTTAATTTTCATGTATTTCTGTAGTTTTGAGAGATCTTGGTATGCATTTGTATTTTTTATTGTACTGTGCTCCAACAGTGTGCTTGGTGAGATTTCATTTTTCCTTAATCTATTCAGGCTTTATTTATCACTGAGCACGTGGTTGAACTTAGAATTTTTTTTTGTGCAGATGAGAAAAATGTACATTCTGTGGTTGTTCGATGGAGTTTTCAATAGATGTCTATTAGGTCCAATTGGTCAAGTGTGGAGTTTAACTCCAGAGTTTTCCTGTTAGTTTTTTTTTTTTTTGGCCTCAGTGATATGTCTAATGCTGTAAGTAGGGTGTTGAAGTCTCTTACTACTATTGTGATGTTGTCTAAGCCTTTTTGTGGGGAAAGAAAAAGTCATTTTGTAAATCTGGGTGCTCCAATATTAAGTGTATATATATTTAAGATATTTAAGGCTTCTCACAGGATTTTATCCTTTATCAATATGCCCTTGTTATTCTTCTTTTCATTGGTAGGCAAAGAAGAAGTCATTTTATGAATTTGGATGCTCCAGTGGTAATCACATATATATTTAAGATAGTTAAGGCTTCTTGTTAGATTGCACCCTTTATCAAAATGCTCTTCTTGTCCCTCTTAGTGTTTTTTTTTTTTTTTTTGGTTTAAATTTGTTTTATCTAATATAAGAATAGTGACTGCTGCTTGTTTTTGTTTCGTTTGCATGGTAGAATACACTCCACCCTTTTACTCTGAGGCAAAGGGTGTGTCTTGAAAGCAACAGATGGATGGGTACTGTCTTTTTATCCAGGATGCCACTTTGTGTCTTTTAACTGTGGTGTTTAGCTTACTTACATGTTAGGTGAGTATTGATATGTGTGATTTTGAATTCACCATCATGTTGTTAGCTGGTTGTTATGTAGAGTTGATTGCATTATTGCTTTATAGTGCCTGTGGGCTATGTGCTTAAGTGAGCTTTTTTGGTAGCAGATATCATTCACTTGAATCCATGTTTAGCACTACCTTAAAGACCTCTTGTAAGGCTGGTCTAGTTTAAATGTATCACGTCAGCATTTGCTTGTCAAAGGAATTTTTTTTTTCCTCTTTCACCTATGAAGCTTAGTTTAGAGGGATATAAAATTATTGGTTAATTTTTTTTCCTTTAAAAACTCTGCAGATAGGCCCCTAACCTCTTCTGGTTGCAAGGAGTCTGCTGAGAGGTCTGCTGCTAGTCTGATGGAATTCACTCTGTGAGTAACCTGCCCTTTCTCTCTAACTGATCTTAAATTTTTTTTTGCACTGACTTTGGTGAATCTGATGACTATGTGACATGGAAATAGCAATATGGTTTGGATCTGTGATTCTGCCCCAATCACATGTGGAACTGTAATCTTCAATGTTGGAGGTGGGGCCTGCTGAGAGGTGATTGGATAATGGGGATAGATCCTTGTGAATGGTTTAACACCAGCCCCTTGTGCTGTCTTGCGATAACGTTCTCATGAGATCTGGCTGTTTAAGAATGGGTAGCACCTCCCCGCTCTCTGTGTTGCTCCTGTTCTTCCATGTAAGATGCCTTGCTCCCCCTCTTCCTTCTTCCATGGTTGTTAGTTTCCTGAGGGCTCCCCATAAGCCAAGCTGATGCTGCCATGCTTCCGCTGCAGCCTGCAGAATTGTGAGCCAACCAAACTTCTTTTCATTATAAATTACCCAGTATCAAGTATTTCTTTATAGCAATGTGAGAACTGACTAATACAGACTGTCATATATTATTGTATCTGACTAGGGGCTGACTGGGGTTCTCTTGGATTTGAATGGCAACCTCGCTAGTGAGATTAGAGGTACTTTCATGAACTATATCTTCATACATATTTTCCAACTTGCCTATTCTCTTTCCTTCTCTCTCAGAAATGTTGATAAATTGTAGATTTGTTCTCTAAGTAATCTCATATTTCTCAATGGGGATGTTGATTTTTCTTAATTCTTTTATCTTTATTTTTGTCTGACTATGTTGATTCAATAAAACAGTGTTTGAGCTCTGAGATTCTTTTCTCAGTTTAGTCTATTCTGCTGGAAATACTTCTGATTTTATTATAAAATCCTCACAGTAAATCTTTCAGCTCAAGAATTTTTTTAGTTTAGATATTTCTTAAGATTGCTATTTTATCTTTCAGGTTTTGAATCATTTAACCGGATTGCTTGGCTTCCTTGGGTTAAGTTTCAACTTTCTTCTCAATCTAAATGAGTTTCCCTGCTCTTTTTTCCATGTCTGTCATTTTAGACAATTCAGACTGTTAAAAACCATCACTGGGGCACTAGTGGGCTCTCTTGAAGGAGACACTCTGGCTTTTTGCATTGCCAGAGATTTTGAGCCAATTCTTTCTCATCTGAGAGAACTGGTATACCTCTAATTGGGGTATAAATTGAGTATAGTCTATTGGCTTTCTTTTTTTGAAGGTTTTCAGAGGACTAGGACTCTGTACAGTGTCTTTGTTGTTGAATTCTTGCTCTTGGTTTCACAGGGGAAGAATTAGTAAAGTGATTTTTGGTGGTGTAATCTCTACTGCGATCCAGTAGATAGCACTTGAGAGCAGTGGGATGTAGATAGGTTCTTTACCATGCAGTTCCTTTGTGTATCTTCTTTATTTGCAACTATGTTCTGTGGTACAGGTCTGTTCATGAGTCTTGAGAGACTCACTTCCAATCACTGGCACTATGCCCATTATTATTACTATCATTATCTCCTTTTTTTTTTTTTTTTTTTTTTTTTTTTTTGAGACAGAGTCTTGCTCTGTCGCCCAGAGACTGGAGTGCAGTGGCAGGATCTCAGCTCACTGCAAGCTCTGCCTCCTGGGTTCATGCCATTCTCCTGTCTCAGCCTCCCGGCTAGCTGGGACTACAGGCGCCCGCCACCACGCCTGACTATTTTTTTGTATTTTTAGTAGAGACAGGGTTTCACCGTGTTATCCAGGATGGTCTCGATCTCCTGACCTCGTGATCCACCCGCCTCCGCTTACCAAAGTGCTGGGATTACAGGCGTCAGCCACCGCGCCCGGCCTATTACTATCATTATCATTATTGTCATTGTTGTTAGGTGTTTCAAGCTGTGGGGCTTCCTCAGGGAGATGTCTTCTAGAAAAATACCCTGCATCTTTACCATAACAGCCCTGTGGAAGGAGGTGTGCCTAGGGCCCACGCCAGCCTGTGAACCTGTGTGAATCTGGCCTCTCAGTTTCTGAAGAGTGTGGGTTCCTCCCCCATTCAACTGCCCAGCACAGATCCCAGCTTGACACTCCTGAACCACAGGCCACAGCACTGGAGTGCCACGACTTGCTTATGACTCCCTCTTCCTGATGCTTAGGGCCAGGTTCCAAGTGTGGTGAGGGATCTGAGGGATTTCTGGGCTGCCAGAATGCATTCAGGTGGAGCCAAGCATCCAGGTTGGGTAGCAGAAACTACAATGTATACATGCTTCTCCCAGGAAGCCAGGCAGGGGCCATGTAAGAGGCTGGTGGACAGGCATGCCTACAGGATAGACATGTCCCAGTCCTGCGGGTAAGCAGGCCTTGCTTTCTCCCTGCAGTTTAGCTGGGGCCAAAGCCTCTGAGAGAGATAGGCAGCTGCAGAGGTGGGACTTTATGGTTGAGCTCCACCAGATCCGACCCATGCTAAAAAGTCCTGGCTCTGTGCCTGCTACAGCTCCATCTCCATCTACTCTCCAGGGAGATCTCCTTGCCAACTCACATGTCCATGGGGGTGTGGAGTTTCCTGCAGCCAGGATCCCAGTGGTCTGCAGCGAGAGTGAGCAGCCTCCCAGTCCCTTTACTCACTTCTTCCCCAGATGCCACTCAGGGCCAAAAAGCAGTCATAGCGTTCAGGCACCCCATAAGGGCACCCCAGCTTCCTTGCTCTTCAGTCTTAGAAAACGCACCTTTTCTCCATCCACACTATCCATTTTCTCTCCAAATATCTATTCAAACTATGTTGATGTAGTCAAAATTGTGGTCTTTCTCTTTGGGAGCAACACTTGCTGGCTGCATCCAGTAAGCCATCTTGGAAACTCTCTTAAAAGTACTAATGTGGCAATTTCTCCTAAAATTATCTATAAATGCAGTGCAATCCCAATCAAAAGCCCAATAACTTTTTTTAAATGGAAACAGAAACTAACATTCTAAAATTCAAGTGAAATCTCAAGGAACCAAGAATAGTCAAAACGATCGCAAAAAAAAGAGATAAAAATGTTCAGAGCTCTAATTTCATAATGAGAAATTTCCTAACGTCAAAAGTTACTCACAGTCATGTTACTCAAAACAGTGTGGTACTGGGATAGAGACTACAAACAAATGAAATAAAATAGTGTCTCTCAGAGGACACTATCAATAGAGTAACAGGACAACTCTGAATAATAGAACATACTCCATAACAATACTCTAATAATACATCTGGCAAGGTATTAATATAGGGAAAATACAAAGTAAAAAGGTTTGAAAATCTTCAACACTCCTCATGATAAAAACATTAAATAAACTGGAAATAGAAAAGATATTGTAAGACATCTATAAAAACCCCACAGCTAACATCATACTTGATGTTAAAAGACAAAATGCTTTCTACCTAAGATCAGAAATAAGACAAAGATGTCTGTTCTCACGACATCTATTCAACATGGTAAAAAAAAAGCTGTTAGCTAGGAAATTAGGCAAGAACATAAAAGTATTAGTGATTTTAAAGCAAATACACACATAGCACCCAGGCATAAATACAAAAGCAGACTTTTCACTGCACATAAAGGTGGATACACGCAGACAAAGACACGCAAGCTTGTTAACTGTCAGAGTTAGCAGCTGAAACACATAAATAAATGCTCAGAGAGACACCCAGTTTAGACCTCTGCTCTCTTTACCACACTCTCCTCCCACATTAGCAGTAACCACTATCTTACACATTGTTTATTTTACTTGTATTATATATTTATTTTTTCCTAGAATATCAGCTTCAAGTGGGCAGAATTATTTGTTTTGTTTTAGTCATTGCAGCACCTCCTAGAACATCTGCTACACAGGGCAAGATTAATACATAATAAATCACTGGGCTCAAATTCACACAACTATACACAGTGCTTTTCCATGAACCTCATCATAGGCCCATATAAACTTGATTTGCACAAAATGAGTTTTTCTTAACTCGATCTTATGTGGCAGGGTGGTGTCTTCTGAACTCCAAACAAATTCCTAAAGGTTAGCTTACTCAAATGAATTGAAAATGTAAGTCCACACAAAAACCTGCACAAAAAAGTTTACAGCAATATTAATTGTAGTTTTCACAAAACTTGGAAGCAACCAAGATCATGTATTCACCAAGGTCAGAGGTACAAAATTATTATACAAAAATCAATTCTACTTCTATACACTTGCAATGAAATATCTAATAATGCAGTTGAGGCAAAAACAAATCCATTTACAATAGCAATTAAATAATAAATCATAGAAATAAATTTTTAAAAATGTGAAAGGAACTTATAATCTGAAAACTACAAACCTTATCGAAAGAGGTTGAAGATCTAAATAAATGAGAAACCATTCCATGTTTATGAATCAGTAGGTTTAATACATTATGATGACAATAACTCCCCAAACAGTCTACATCCAGTACAATTAGATTCAGTACAATTAGAATTCAAGGTGACTACCATGTAAAAACTGAAGCATTGATGCTGAAATTCATATAAAATTAAAAGGGACTAAGAATATCTTTAAAAATCTTTAAAAAGATGCCAAATAAAAGGACTCACAAATTACAACTTCAAAATTTGCCTCAAAGCAACCTTAATCAAGATGGTGTAGTAACGACACAAGGAAAGTCATTTAGATCAATGAAATACAACTGAGAACCCAGAGAGAGTAAAATCAGCAAAATGTCAAGAATGTACAGCTCCAAACACCTGCTCCTCCACAGAAACAGGGAAAACCAAGCAGAACTGTCAGAAACGATGTTGTAAAACCTGTTGAAAACCATCAAGTTGTACAGCAACCATGTAACTACAAAATCAAGAAAAACAATGAAGAACAGGAGAAAAGCCTCGTGGACTTTTTACACGTCCTTGCCCAAATCCTTCCCTTACTTGATGGCAGTCTTAAAAACAACATCCTGAGTTGCCAGTATGGGCCTCTGCTCAGTGGTTCCAGAGGGAAAAGAGGAGGTCTTACTTGCAAAGTATTGTGTTGTTACATTAAAATCTGTATTAGGGCTATCCAGAGGTCTGAAACAAGGCTCTCTTTTTTCTCTAAGTCAGAAAAAAAAATCAGTTTAAAAAATTGGCACGAGTTACTTGGGAGTATTTTAAGGAAACTGAAAGCCAGCAGCCCCCTGGAGAACAGATTACAGACGACACATACAATAGGTCACATAAAGCCAAGAATAAAAAGCTAACGTGAGATTTTGTTTTGTTTTACAAATTAGGCTATTAAAAAGCACCCAGGTATGCTGGCAAATTGACAAAGCACTCTGTGCATAACCACGAAAAACACATTTTCTTAAAGACCCAAGAAGACCCTCATTTTCAGCACTGGCTGACCTTCAGGCTCAGCTCAGCAGAAAGTGAAGACTGAAGCAAAGTTTTCAACAGTCTGCACATGTGTTAAAGGAACGCCCCAGCCCAGAGCCATCCACAAAAACTGGAAGAATCCGTCAGTTTGTCTTTGTCTCAGTTTTGTCATATAGACCTTTGTGACACACAGATCTATATACAATGGAAACTACAAATTTCTAATGAAAGAGCCATGAAAGATCACAAAAGATCTTAATAAATAGAAAGACATTTAATGTGCATGATCATAAAATCTCAATATTGTCAAGATATAATTTCTCCCCAATTTGAGTTATAGGCAAGAGAGTCACATCATCTAGGTGATTGGCCAAACATATGTCACAATCCCTTCCATTGACAGCTCCCAAAAAAGGAGTTACATCACCTAGGTGCTCAGCTCTGAGATGTGTCACAACATTGCCCAATACAGGCAGGCCACAGGCGGGAGAGTCACATTTCCTGGGTGCTTGGCCCAGTGGTATGTCACATTTCCTTATGTAGGAAGGGCACACGTAGCAAGAGAGAGTCACATTACCTAGGTACTGTGCTAGAGCTATCAGTCTCTGTGTCGTTCAATGTGAGAGTTATGATCTCTTTAGACATCCATGTAACAGAGCCTCAACTCCTTCATCCTCAGATGTAAAGGCTAGTGAAGACCAAATAAGCCTTGAAAGGTAATTCCCCTAAAAAGGCAGAATGTCTTAGGCTTTGGCCTCTCCCCTTCAAGCACAATGAGATCATAACCTCTCTTTTGACTTCTCACTATGCCCAGCACTGGAACAAAGCTCCTGACTCCACACCCTCACCTTTCCACCCTTGTGCCTTCACTGGGCAGACAAGAGATGAGAAGACCTGAACTCTGGGACAGTCTGGGGAGAAAAGAATCCAAAAAGGGTTGAGGCGGCAAGGGCTGAGCTCCCACGGGTGCCCCGGCCCAAAGGTGCAGGTCCAGGCTGTTTTCCAGGTGGCATTCAGTGCAGGTTCTTCAATGCCACTGGAAGGCATGAAAAACCCACTGTAGCTGCTGCTGCTTCCTTTTCTTAAGCTGTGAAAATGCAAACACTTTTTCAAGGTTTTCAGATATGCCCAGGTACCCCCAACTGAAAAGGAGGATAATGGCATTGTTCATCATGGCTTATTGTCTTGCCCAGGCAGGAGCCAGCCCCTGACTCGCCAATCCAGCTGCCCCAGGCTGGAGGTGATCCTTTCGAGCCTCCTCCCTGCAACTCCACTCCTCTTTTTTCTCTTCCTCAACCACCGGCATACTTTTGGTCATCCTCCTTGTTGTCACAATGGGGGCGTGATGCCATAAAGACCTGGGAACCCCAATGATCTCAGGTCCCGCAGGGGTCAGGTGAGCATATAGGAAGTCCAGAAGGACAGTCATCTGCCACCTCCAGTTGAAAAAGAACAAAACCCTCGCACTCCAGAAATGAGTCAAGAACCCAGCGAAGGCCACAGGTCTAGCCCACAACCACCTAGGTATGTGGGGTCCTCCAAGGCTCACGCTTGTGTCCTGCAGGCTGGAGCCCATGCGAGGGTCTGCAGTCTTTGTTCCGGATGGGGAACTACTGCTTCAGCTGGTTACCCAGGTGTCCCCGATGGGGAAAGGAAGGAAATGGTGAGAATCTTCAGCACAACGGATCACATCACCCTGGCAGAGACCAGTCCGGCCTGCGCATGGCACCAGCAGCCGCAGGCTAGAGGCAGTCATGTCAGGCCTCCTCCATACAGCATCTCTCCTGCTTTTTTTTCAAACGGCCCTAATCACTTAATTTGGTCATCTTCCCTGTCACAATGGGGCACCTGGCGCTATAGACACTTGGGAAACACACAGATCTGGGGTCCTACAGTGTCCAGGTGAAGACGCCGGGAGTCAGAGAGGAAAGTCTTTTGAAGCCTCCAAAAGGAATGCACAGGACCCCACTTGAAGAGGTGGAGTGCCCAGTGGCGGATACAGGCCCCACACATCGCAGCAGTAAACAGGTAAGGCGCTCCCTGGCCCATGCCTGTTTCCTGGAAACTGAAGCCATGCCCAGGCTGGGAGTCACCATTCCAGAAACAGAATAAGCTGTTGGGCTGGCTACCTCACCCAGCACCCGGCCACGCCAGAGAGAATCTTGGATGCTGCTTTCCCACAGGCTGTAGTGCCTTCCAAGTTAGGCCACCCTAATAACAGTTCTCCCACAGGGACTCCACGGTGTCCAGCTCTCCAGCCTGGGGTTTCTCATCACCCAGTGATTCCAAAAGAAACGATCTACAATGGCATGACTAAGTTCCAGAAACAAATAAACAAAATACTGAGGGAAGCCCGTTGGTCACTTTGATTCTTCAAAGGTGACAATTGTCCCTCCCTGAAATCTTGTGAGTGCATGAACAGGCTATTCTAATGTAAATGAAATTCACACTAAAACTGATTGAAAGATGATTCTGTTTCCAAGGTACTTTGTATTCTCAAATTGCACCTGCTTACCCTGGCCCCCTCAAAATGGAAGAGTGATGACTATTTGTCTTCGTAGCACTGTGGGGACACAGAGCCTTAAATGGAAGAGTGTCAAAAGCAACATTCCATAAAGGGCTGTCACTTCCAATTTTCAAGCAAGGTTGGAAACCAACCATGATGTATGAAACACTGTTGGCCAAAGTGCACAATTAGTAATACAAAATGAATAATATAAACTATTGTAAATATGTGTGGACATCGTGGCAATTTGGACATCAAAAAACACTGCCAAATTCAGAAAGAGGAAGCTGTAAACTCATGGCTGTTAGGAAGCTTAACTTCTGTGTACTAGAACCTATCAAAATTAAATTTCTCCATGTCAATCCGTCCAAACAAACATTGAGATGTTTATTTCTATATAATTCCTATTGAATCCTACTGGGCAGGACCCTTCTGGCCCCATCCTCACAGCACTGGTGCAGTGAAACTGCACTTGCTCCTGCTTCCCCCTATATTGTTAGGAGTGGAAATATTTAGTAACAGGGTGGATTGGGAGGCTACTGAGGCCTCCTGCGTGGGTGGGTCAGGTCTCCTGCAGCCCAAACCTTTTTACAATAAATAAGTTATAGGTAAAATTAGAAAAAAATTAAAAAATGGAACTCATTCTGTTTCTTTGCTCACCACAAAGAGAAACACAGCATCTAGAGATGTCTGTTGGAGCCAGGCTTGTCCTGGGAAAGTAAGAAGTGCTGAGCAGGAGCCCTGGGGATGGAGGGCAGGTGAGATGGGGCTCCCAGGAAGATGCAGCCAAGCCTGGCTCACTCAGGCTGGCAGGGGCCCTCTGAAGTCCAGGAAAGTTGGTCCAGGACACTGAAACTCAAGTGACTCATCTGGGCCAAAGATCTGACCAGGTCGCACTGAATCTCATCAGCCCTGCCAACTGGAGGTCTGATCAGCCTTGAAGATCTTGCTCACTGGAGGCAGACAGCTGGTGGATGGGTCAGGAGAGCTGCCTACTGCCAATGTAGGAGTGCACTCAGTGTAGGCCCGCTGCCCCACTCAGTGGCCTGGATAACCTGCTGAGGCTGCAGCTTCTTCCAGTTTTTGAGCAATAGGGGCATGCACCATTTCCGAAGGTTTTCAGGCAATCCCTGGTGACCTCTGGCAGGGGGTGGTTATCTTGGCAATCTCCAGCAGGGCCTATGGACTTGCTCCCAGGCAAAACCCAGCAATCCCTGTGCCTACCCAGGCACTAAGCATTTGTGGTGGGGCTTTCTGGAAGCTCGCCTTCTCCTGCTGGCTCTTCGTTTTCCCCACCCCGGTACTTCTGGCCATTCTCCCTGTCATCATCACAATGAGACAGCTGGGTGCTGGAGACTCAGAAACTGCCATGCAGACCTTGAGTCCTTCCCAGGCCCAGCCAACAGGGCAGAGAATCCAGGAGAAAAGTCATTTTCACCTCCTGAAGGACCAGAGCTGACCAGGCACCTAGAAGCTGTGCCCCACTGCAGGCTGCCGGTGGAGCTCATGACAAGGCCGGAACAAGGCCGGAACGTGAAGCACTCCCTTGTCTGTCCTTTTTTCCTGAAGGCTGGGGCTTGCCCGGCCAATGTCACCCTTCAGGACAGGGAATCAGAGCTTTGCATGGCTGCCTTACCCCACCAGGGCAACGCCACAGAGAATCATGGCTGAGGCTTTCCTGTGGGCTGCAGTGCCTGACCCTTTAGGGTCCCCACAAAAACACCTTTCCTGCAAATAATCCACCGTGTCCTGCTTGCCAGCCTAGGCTTCCTCATCAGTTGGTGATTTCAATGAAAACAAACTACAGTGGAATGAACAAGTTCTAAATCAGGAACACACAAAGAATCTGTGGAAAGTCCATTTGTCATCTAGATTTTTAAAAGATACACATTTTCCCTTCTTGTTATATTCAGTAGTGCATGAAGCCAATATTATAATAGATGTGCAACTCACACTAAAGCTGACTAAAGGGTGAATTCTTATTCTAAGGTACTTTGTGGTCTCAAATTTATCTGTTCCCACCCCCAGGACCCCATTAAAACTGAATAATTGTCATTGAGAGCAGATGTAGAAAGAAACTAGCTAGGCAGATAGAGCAAAGAGTTCTCAACAGAACGTCCCTTCTAACAGAAAGCAACCCAGGAATTCACTTCTCTTTAACAAAGAGCAGCCTGGAAAATTGGGCTGCAATCATACAAAAGGAAGCTGGAAGCTTGTGTGGGCAGGGATGCCTGCAGCTGCATGGGTAGAAATGACCACCTTGGGCCAGACATATCCAACATGGGGGGCCCCACCCCTCTTTGTAGCATATGCACAGTAGAAAAGAGATAAGCAACTTGGAGTAGCTCAGGCTGAGAATCTGCCTGCATAATAAAAGGTTGGGGTGTGAGCTGCCAGAGATTCATGCTCTAAGCAGATGACACACCTGGTCCTAACCACTTTTTCATGCCCTATGTGGATAACATACCCCCTCCCACTAGCTCATCTATAAAAACACTTGTATTTCACTGCAGAATGGCAACTCTTTTTTTCTGGATCCCTCTCTGCAGCAGAGAGCTGTTCTCTTTTTCTCACCCATTAAACTTTTGCTCTAACCTCACCTTTGGCATATCTGTGTCCTTGGTTTCCTCGGTCCTGACACCAAGAAGTTCAGGTGTAACCCCAGAAGACACGGCCAGTTTATCATGACTTGTCTCATTGCCTCTTGGGACATAGAAACGTCAATGAAAATGTGTCCAAAAGGACATTTCATAAAGTGCTCTCTCTTCCAATCTTCAAGCAATGTGGGACTATCCATCATGTATAAAAAACTTGTGGCTGAAATGCACAATTTCTAATACAAAAATGAATGCTATAAATTACTCTATGTATGTGTATTATGGCCATTCAGACATCGTCACACATTGCCACATTTAGATAGAAGAACCTGTGAACTTGTGGCTGTTAGGAAGCTTAACTTGTGCATACTGTCACCTATGAAAGTTAGTTTTCCCTGCGTTTCTTGAAACCAACCTTGAAATGTCCATCTTGTACACAATTTCTATTTATCCCCAGTGAGGTTCACCCATCTGGCCCCGCCCTTACAGCCCTGGTACCAATGGAATTGCACTTGCTTATGCTTCTTCAAATTTTCTTGAGGTCATAAACATTTAGTGACAGAGTGGAATGAGAAGGTACTGAAGCAAGGGCTGATGCCTTCTGGGTAGATGGGTAGAGATCTCCTGCAGCCTGGACATCTTCAAAATAAGTAGGTTATAGGTCAATTTAGAGAAAAAAATAATACTCTTTCTTTGAACACCACAAAGAGAAAAGCGCTGGATCTAGATGTGTCTGTGAAGCCAGGCTTGTCCTGGGAAAGTGAGAAGAGCTGAGCAGGAGCCCTGGCAATGGAGGGTGGGTGAGATGTGGTCCCCACGGAGAGACCGCTAGGGTCAGGGCTTGGTACAGTGAGGCTGGCAGGGACCTTCGGAAGGCAAGGGAAGATGGCCAAGGACACAAGGCTGAAGCAACCCATCTGAGCCAAAGATCTGTTTAGGTCCTTCTGAATCTCAGCAGCCTTGCCAAGGAAGGCATGATTACCCATGGGTATCAGAGACACTGGAGGCTGGCAGCTGGCGGGTGGGCCAGGAGGCCTGACTACTGCACAGGTGTGATTTCACTGGCAGGCCAACTGCAGGGAGTGGATAAAGAGAGAGCTCTGTGTGGGAATCTCTCTCGGTGGATCATCGAAGAGGTGAAGTCTTCTTCATAGCCTCAAACCCAATTTGTGGGATAGCAATTCCAGTGAAGCTGGGACAAGCTGGCACTGCTCAACCAGGCCTCCCAAGATACCAGGTTTCTTTCCACCACAGCTGGGCCTGGATTGGGATGTGAACATCTATCCCAGAGTCCAGAGGATGGGACCCTGGTCAGTGATGGTGCTGGTGTGTGGTGTGAAGCCAGGTAGGGCAGACTCTTCAGGTGGGAGGAGAAGACAGCCTCTCCTGTGGGCTCCTGGGCAAGTCAACACCCTCTTTGGGCCTGTCTCCTCAACTGGAAAATGCAGAAAGCCTGTTGTGCAGGCCTCACAGGGTCATGATAAGGGGCAAAGGATGAAGGAAACTTCAGAATTCTTGTGCCCACCTCTTCCTGAGAGGGATGATGGTGAGAACAATGGTGATAGCCACATGCAACTGAGTCCTCAGGAGGTACTGTGAGGAAGGTGTTGTTCTCATCACACTTCCTAGATGAAAAAACAGTTTCAGGAAGGCCTGGCTGCATGCCCAAGGTTACACACACAGTGAGTGTTAAAGCTGGGAGTAAATCTAGAATCAGGACTCACTGGAGCTGGTGGGAGCATTACACCGGCTGACTCAGGCAGTTATCCAAGATCTGAGGTCGCTGGGGCTGGAGTGTAACTGTGAGACAGGCACAGTCTCACTGACCCTGTTTCTGACTCTACTAGGTAGGAACCTTTTTAAAGAGTCCAGATGGGGCTGCAGCAGCAGGTGAATTGGCCTATGGTAGGGAGGGGCTCCAGAGAGTCAAGGACAGGGCTCCTCCCTCCCAGCTGGAGTTCTCCACATCAAGAGACCTGGGTGTCTTCCTCCTCCAGCCCTGCCCTCCTGTGGCCACAATGCTTGGAATGCCTTCATTAGAGAGACTAGAGAAAGGGCCTGGGAGAGCTAGGCTCAGAGTAGATTAGACGAAGAGTGAGGGTGGGGACGATCTGACTTTGTGATTTATTAAAATCACACCATAGAGGTAACTAAGAAGTGCTTAGCGTCTTTGGAGGTCAGCTGTGGAAAGAGGAGGGAAAGATTTTGGGCAAGGAGGTGAAAGGTCCTTGGATGCTCTGAGTGAGAGACTTGGGTACGGGGGTCAAGGAGAAATAGGTTGGTGAGAGTTCAAAGGAGAGGTCTTGTGCAGTTAGCTGAGAATTGGTGCTCATCACTGCTACCACCTTGATAACACAGGCTGCTGTGCCCCCACTCCCCTCCCCCCCCACCCCCCACCCCGGGCACACTTCTCAACAACCTGCAGATGCTGGAAATTGCCATAGAGGATTATAGAGATGTGAGTGAGACTGGGGCAGGCAGGCAGGGTGGGGACCAGGATCCTGAAGCTTGCGAGGACAGAGTCCTGGACTGAATCCTGAGACTGCAGCACTCAGCAAACCCCTTTCCTGAGAGCCTACCAGATGCCCCTGTAAATGGCAGTGTCAGTTCCGTCTTATCTATGAGTGACGGAGCCTCCAGCAAAGACACCATTTCCTGTTCCTTGAGTAGTAAAGCTGCAGAGCTAAGTCTCAGCCTCTGCCTTAGCTGGTACCCATTGCAGAAGAGAGAAATTGGGCCCCTCCTAAGACAGGCAGGTCCTAAATTGTTGAGTAACTTCTTTGTTTCCAAGGCCTTTGTCTCCCTATCATCACAGAGAATCAGGGAGAAAGGTCACTGAGCCTCAGTGTCCCTTCTGTGGAGCCCAGAACCTGATGCAGGTCTAAGTCCTGTTTTATGCACATGCTCTGACCCTGGTGGCCCTGGTGGTGGTGCAGCATAGGAAGTATAAGGGATGAGGTCTAGTCCTGTGTCAGGAAGCCTTTCTCATGAATCTTGGCTGTCTACCTCCTAAGAACATATAATCAACACTAATAAAGGAAGAAGGTGAGCAGCTGGCGCTGTCGCTTTGAGGGAGGGTGGGGATGTGAAAGTCAGACACCACCCTGAGGAAGACACTCCTTGGCTCCATCCTCTGCATCTTAGATTTATTGGGAAGGTTTGATACACAGAGAAGCAGGAGCCCCATCCCAATGGAGGGTTTGATTAGGGGAATAGAATCAATGATAAACTCCTAGAGGAGGGACTGTTTATATCCAACTCTTGAGAACAGGTTGGGGCTACATGGGATTGGAGGGGAGGGTAGGACCCCTTAAAAGAAAGGCCCTAGAAATTGTCCCTACCCCTTCACACCCCCACAAGTTCCCTTTGTCATCTTCCACCCAGGACCTGTCAGAATCCTGCCCTTCCTTCTGTCTCCAGATCAAAGTCCTCCAGGAAATGCAGCTGCTTCAGTGACAAGAGATAATCGTCATCTTCTGACTGAGGAGGAATTTGGGGTTTGGTTCCAGTGCATGAAGCTGCACAGTCAGAATAAAAGATGAGGGCCTAGCAGATTAGCAAAGACTAGGAGAAGACTCTATCTTGTGGCCAGCTTCAGAGAACCTGGGGCCATAGCTCCCTGGTCAACATTAGGCCTGCTGCATGGGGACCCTGGGCAGGCAGTGGGAAGCCTGAGGTGTGGCTCCTGGTAGCCTCACAGCTGCCACTATTTTCTGAAGCTCCTCCTACTTGTTTTGTCAGACGGGCCCCTATTCCAGCAGGCCAGCAACACCCTCAAGACCAAGAACAGGCCATGGTGAATCTCAGGGCCATTGAGTGCCTGGGCTGGCAGGGGCAGAGTGCCTCAGGGCTCAGTGACATTTGGCCTGAGTGTTGGCTTTGGGAGTCAGACAGCTGCACTGGGCTCCCAGCTTCACCATGACCAGTAATGTGTCTGGGGCCGGGGCCTCACTGCTCTAAAACTTGAGACACCATAGTGATAAATTTTACACACCCTTCTAACTGCTTTTTCTTTTTTATCTGTCTTTCTCTATAATCACCATGTACTACTGATCTCTGTTTATTTAAATTAATAAGCATGTTATACAGTGTGTATTATTCTTCCTCGTGACTTCTTTACTACATTGTATGATTCCACTCATATGAGGTACTTACAGTAGTTCCATTCATAGAAACTCAAAGTAGAAGAGTAGTTCCTAGAGGCCAAAAGGAAGGTAACGGGAACAGAGTTTGAGTTTTGCAAAATGAACAAATTTCCCTATGAATGTGGATGATGGTTGTAGAACAATGTGAGTATGATTAATTCCTCTGTCCTGCACTTTTAAAAATTGTTAAAATGGTTAATTTTATGTATATTTTACCACAATGTAAAAAAGGACTTTTTTAAATGAACAAACTGTAGATATCTGTAACAGCATAAATATCACAAATATAATATTGCATTAAAAAATTGATGTAAAAGTATCCATACTGTGTAATTTTTTATATTACACTCAAAAATCAAAACTGAGGTTCTGGCTTCCACTAATGATGAAGTAGCTAACTGAACTAACACTCTCACACAGAAAAATGATGAATCCTGGGTAAATTATTATATATCATTATAGAAACATTTCTATATACAATACATACATGAAATATGTGTATATAAAAACTGAATGCATATTTTGGCTATGACTTCCATAGGAGAGATAAGTATTGAAGATAGAATCCAGCCCATTTAACACCATCTTTTAAAAACAACACTCTTCACAGGGACAAAACAGAATCCAGTCTTTTTAATCCAGTCTTGTATACAGTCTCCAGGGCACAATTTCCAATTCAAGGGATGCGTGAAGACACGTGAAAATGTAATAAATACACAAGATAAAAAGCAGGCAGTAGCCATCTCCAAGATGTCCAAGATGTAAACGGCAGACAAGAATTTGAAGGCAGCTATTATAAACACGCTCATGAGGGCAAAGGAAAATATTCTCATAAATGAATAGATGTGAAACATCAGCAGAGAAAAAATAGCCATATAAAAAATGAGAAATAAAAATAATAATTTTGAGCTTTTCTATAGTTCAGAAACAGAGACATAGCAATATAATTTATCCAATCTGAGGAGAGGAAAAAAAAAAGAAGTTTAAAGAAAATGAACAGAGCCTTACAGACCTGTGGGATGACTGAGTCTGAGAAAAGGTGAGAGATAGAAAAAATCAAATGGAGTATAAAAGTAAATCAACAAAATTTAAAGAAAATAAACACAGCCTTAGAGACCCATGGAATTATTGAGCCTGAGGAGAGAGACAGAAGAATTAGATGGGTTGGAAAAATAAATCAATAACTAACAGCTGCAAACTTGCAAAAATTGTTCAAAAACCTATTTTTTTTTTTTTAATCTAAAGATCCACGAATCCCCCACAAAAGTACAAATAAAACCATACCAAGGCCATATTGCAATTTAGGAAAGCAGCAGGCAGGACTTTCAATTGACTTGATATGATTTATCATTTTTACTATTTGTAAGAATGGAAATAAGTTCTTAGAGTTTTGGTCTTGGAGAAAGTCTGACGTTAAGGACAAACGACAGTTATTAAAGGCAGATGACTTTCCAGACTTGTCTTAAATGTTCCATTCTTCACCTTAGAACTTATTTAAATTTGTTTCTTCCAAATACTGCAGTAATATTGATGCTCCAGAGAGATGTCCCACGGAGATTCTGCTCTTGTGCGTCTGCCCTGCACGGAGCTGAGGCAGTGTCTATCAGTTTCAGAAGCGAGTAGTCGTGCAGTACTTAACCTGAAAAACTTAATGGAAACATGAATTAAGAGAATGATCACTGTTTAGTTCTATCAGAAAACTATTAAAAGTGGTCCAAGGGGGTATTTAAAAAGAGATATTAAAGTATTTTCCAAGGGAGCCCTATTCAGGGTAGAAGCGCAGACACTATCCCTGACCTCACCACACAAACTACCCTCATGTGTTGGGAGGGACCAAGGGGCGCTCTGGTCCTGCTGACCTGCATTAATCACGGCCCGGAGGTCCACACTAAGACCCTGAGGCCTGGGAAGCAGCCTGGGTGGGGTCAGAGAAGCGGTGGATGAGGCTCCACAGCAGCTCCCAGGGTCCCATCCCCGTAGCTGTTTCCTTAGTGGATGCAGCAGGGTCAGGCCCTTCCGCTGTGACGTTTTCTCCTCTTTATTACACTGGTGGGAAAGTCTCCGTGAGAGGCCCGACCTAGATATGGACCACGCAGCGAGCCCGGGGGTCCAAGCGGCGCTCCTGGGGTGCAGAGGATTTGTGACAGCCTAGAGAACAGAGGAAATGGTTTTGAAAAGGCAAATGGCAGGTGACTAGGGACACGATGTTTTCACTTCTGGCAGTCAAGTGACAGTTTCAGACACTCATGAACGGGCTTCTCGAGGGGATCCCAAGGAGCCTCCAGGTCGGCCGCCATTACCCTACACCTAGGGACGGGCTGCACTGCGCATTTCCGAAAGGGCAGGCCCCTTAGCCCCACCCCTAGGAATGGGTGCACTGCGCATGTGTGAAAGGGCAGGACTTTTATCCCGCCGCTAGGGACGGGCTACACTACCCATGTCTGAACGGGTGTGACAAGAGGGAGGAGCGAGAAGGGACGGGGCGGAGCGGGAGATGGGCAAGAATAGGGGCGCGGTGCGGCCAACGTCCGGCGGAGGATCGTTACCACGGCAACGCTGCTGTGGAGGCCATGAAAGGCGAACGGCCCTTTGTTGGCTGACAGGAAATCGAGACACTCGTGAGGGGGCTTCTTGAGGCGATCCCAAGAGGCCTGAGAACTGCCACATCCGCGGCCCTTAACCCAGCCCTAGGGACGGGCCGCACTGCGCATGTCTGAAAGGGAGTGACAAGAGGAGGAGCGAAGGAGGGTGGGGCTGAGGAGGAGGCGGGGTGAGAAAAGGGGCGGGTCGCGCCCCACCCTTGTCTGAGGAGCGTTACCTTGACAACCCTGCCGCGGAGGCAGTGAGAGGCCACCGGCCCTTTGTTGATCTGCAAGGTATCAAACTTCGAACATGACAAGCATAAAAGCCTGCAGCTCGAGGAGACAGGGTGTCACAATTACCAGGTGAAACTAGCCGCCCTAGCTCCAATGTCTCTTCAGCAGGAGAGATTTGGAAACAGCAAGGCTCCTCTCCGCAGGGCGAAACTGCTGGGCTGCGAAAGGCGGGACAGGGAGCGGAACCGTCTTCAACCGTTCCGGGAGTTCTGGTGTCTGGTCCGCTCCCGGCTGTTGGTCGCAGGGCAGAGGGTCTAGGATGCCAGCTGGCTGCGGGCTGGGAGATGCAGGGTGAGGCGCGCATCGCGGTGCATACTGGGAGTTGTAGTCTCTCCACCGTTCCCCACGGTGGATGGTGGGGCTACAGGAGGACAATCCCAGATTGAGACAGGAGCGGAGGCGGGGCGCGGCCGTGCAGGGAGGGGGAGGGCGGTGTAGGCGGCTTCGTTTACCAAGCTTGCTGGCCATTGATTTCATGCCAAACCCTCGCCAAGGGGATTAAATCAGGAGAGGAACTTGAAGGGCAGGCCTGGTCTCGCCAGTGAGGAGGATGTGTTGTTGGGAAGTGCACCCCGCCTTTGCCTAAATCGAGAGTGTCTGGTCCTCACTCACGCGACTTCGACTTCCAGCTGCTCAGCTCGATTTTCTTTCCCACTCGCACCCGAGTTCTTTCCAGAGCGTCCCACCTCCTCCAGCCCATGGAGCCGTCTGCTTTCATAAGTGGCTGTGGAAACTGGTCTGAGGTCCCAGACGCTGTCACTGTGCTGCTGCCCTCCGCTCTCTCCAAGCAAAGCACAAGCTGAGCCGCCTTGGAAAGACAACCACGGCCTGGCCTGGGAATGCGCAAGTTCAGAGCTTTGCAGGGAGTGACCATGGGCTGTGGCTTCGTGAAAATGTCACGTTCACCAGTACCCTTTTTGCGGATGTGGCCGTGGAGCCATGAGGGGGGTAATCACTGGGTTACAAAGGTGCTGCTAAGAGCGGAGGAGAAAAACCCAATTCCCAGCCATGTGTCTGGTATGACATTTCACCAACCCATTTAAGTGTGCAGGCCTCCAAATATCTACCTAAAGATTATGATAGATTAGGCATTTTACACTAAAAATCTGTGGCTTCGTGTCCACTAAAGCCTGACTGGCCAGTGCCTAAAAGAAACAGACGATAACCTGATCCCTCAGGAACAGATGGTGTTCTAGCTTTGTGGAAGTGAATTTCAAGGTATGGAGCACTTGAGGGGTCTTTGAAACCTGCCAGGTCTCACATCTCTGCTTTTGGTGAAAAGCTCATCAACTAACAGTAGTCAGGAATGTGCCTTTACTTCCTGGGGCTGGTCTGTTGAAATTTTGTGTGTGGACAATGGAAACATCCAGGAGCATTTCTGCTTTCCTATAGCCTCTTAATAATTGATGCCCTAAAGTCCTATATCCTTTGATTCCTGGATGGTACAGATTTCATGCTGTTAAATCTAATCTGCAAAAACCTGAGCGTTAATCTCCATGAATAGAAGAACTTGTTGTTTCTTATTTAAATGCTCTTTTTTCTCTTGTCTTAGATTCTGAGCAGGATTTCCAATACGGTGTTGAAAGAAGTAGTGAGAGTGGGCATCTTTTTCTTATAATAAATCTTAAAAACAATTCCAAAATTTCACCATTGACAATAATGTTAACCATGGGATTGTCCTATAGCTTATAAAGAACATATCTCTTTATTTTGAGGTATATTCTTTCTATACCTAATTTGTTATAGATTTTATTTGGAATGGATTTTAAATTTTGTCAAAATAATTTTAGGCATGCATAAAAAAGTCATGATTTTTAATCTTTTTGTTGTGTAAATAAGGAGTATGGCATTTATTGATTTCCACATATTAAAATATTATTGCATCCCAGGAATAAATCCAACTTGATCATAATAAATGATCCTTTTAAAGTGCTTTTGAATTTCATTTGCAACTACGTTGCGGATGATTTTTCATCTATGTTCATCAGGGATATTGGCCTGTAATTGTTTTTCTTGTAATGTCCATCTCTGGTTTTTGTATCAGTGTAATGCTGGCTTCATAAAATGAGTTTGGAAGTATTCCTCCTCCTTCAATTTTTTCAAAGATTTGGTTCTTTTTAAATGTTTAGTAAAATTCAGCAACAAAGTCATCAGATCTAAACTCCTTACCCATTACTGATCTATTCATATTTTCTATTTCTTTATGCTTCAGTCTTGGTGGGTGGTACTTGTCTAGAAATGTATTCATGTCTTCTCCCTTATCCCATTTGGTGGGATATCATTGTACATAGGAGTCTGTGTACATAGCAGTCTTATGACCTTTTTTTATTTCTGTTTTACCAGTTGTAATGTATTCCCTTTAATTCTGATTTTATTTATTTAAGCATTTATTTCTTAGTCTAGCTAAAGATATGCCAACTTCATGTTTTCATAAAACAAGCTCTTACAATTTTTCTACATTTTCTATTGTTTTTCTAATCTTCAGTGTATTCATTTCTGCTCCGATTTTTTTTACTAATTTTATTATCTGGGAACGTTGGGATAAGTTCTTCCTCCTCTAGTTTCTTGAGTTGTGTCATTATTTGTTTATTTGTGATCTGTTTTCTCTTTGGTTGAAGGTGTTTACTGCCACTCCATTTCACTGGGATTAGCACCCATATGCATTGTGGTCTTTTTGTTTGAGTTCATCAAACTTCTGATCCTAAGTCTGCACCTTTAGCATACTGGTAAGCAGCAGTGCTAAAAGCCTACACGATGAGTAGGGGATTTAGGATGAGAGAATTACCCAGTAAGTTTTGGGAGGGACTAATATTAAGTTATCTTTCTCTTTTTTATTTCTCATCAGTGCCTGAACCATAAGGCACAAGGAATGAGCCCCTCATCGTGAGAGTGCATGTGACAGGAGCAAAGGAAGCGGCAGCTCAGGAAAGACAAGGTCACTGTTCTTGCTCCCATGACGGTAGCACTTGTTAGAGCAACTGAGTGACGTGCATAATTCTCTCCAAAGTAAAAGTCCTTTTTGTTTTTTGCAATTTTACAAAAAACCGTCCCTGGGCCTTTCCTGAGAGTGTGCAATAATAAGCAATGTTCATATGACTACCCGGGCATTTAGTAATGGTAAGCAGACCAGATGAAGTGACCACAGGGATATAGCCTGACTCTTGGTAATCAGGACTGAAGTACTCACTGATTAAGGTTCTGTGTTTTCACTGCCTTGAAAGGCAAGTGTCTTGCAAGCTGCATGCCAAACAAAGGCTAAATATGATGACACATCAGGCTGCAGCAGAGTCAACTGACCATATATGTCTAGGTGATGAGTGTGCTTTAATGTGGTCAGGGAAGGCAACTCATGATAAAGGCCACAAATGGCTATTTAGACCAAAGCAAAAGCCCACCAGAAACTGGTGGCTCTGACTGAGGTGACTTTTAATGTATCATGAAATCAGTAGGCCAAAAGCAGTTAAAGTTGAGCCGATGTCCTTAGTCATAGTTGGTTAATCCAGTTTGTATTGTGAATTGTTTGATTAGCCTCCCCTTTACCCCATTGGTGAGGGATAAATTACCACCCTTGTACTACTGGAACAGTTAAAACCATGGCACCAATCATTGGACAAATGAGATTGACAGCAGTTATTCGTTACATATAATCATGGAAGAAGGAAATTATATAAGGTATACAGACCCACACAGGGATTGCACTTGGGAGCAGAGAGAACAAACAGGGGGTGTTGGGGAAGGCTTTGTAGTATCAAGAGGGTGAGATGCACCTGGTTCCCACAGGAAGTTGTTATTGGTTGGTCTGGATAATTCTGTGACCTTGGGAGAAACTGAAACACATTATACTACCAATTGCTAAGACTACAATAACATACTATAATAGTGTAATGCTATAATGTACCATATACTGTAATACTAATGACAGTATGTTCTCCCTTTTTTGATAGATTCTCAGAAACTGTGACTTTAAGTAAAACAATGTACTATATAATAAAACCAATTTTACCATTGGCTAATTGATATAAACAAGAGTTAATTTTCCATGGCATATAGTATTTTGTTTCACTTAAAGTCAGTTTCCAGGGACCTATCAATGATGTTAAGTGAGCACTTACTGAACATGTATTTTAGTGATGTGTAATAGAAAGTAGCTATAAAAAATATACTATTCATGTACAAAACTACATGTGGCACACATTACAGTCATGAACCACATAACAATGTTTGAGAAATTGACAGACTATATATATGAGGGTGTTTTCTTGTGAGTATATATATATATATAAACCTACCTTTAAAGGCCAAAGGAGCTGAGAGTTTGAAGAATGAGGCTGACAAATCAAGTTTCTCAGAAAGAAACATTTAAGAGGAACATTTATTAATAGAAGCTATGTCTCAGATAGCTGAAGATGGTGGAACCTCACACTGTGACCCCCTAAACCCAGACACTTATCACAGGAAAGGGAATGTGAAGGACAATTGAAATCACTATATAAATTTGCCTAAGGGTAGGATTTGTGCTAAGTACCTGTTCACAATAGCATCAGGGTTGTTTTGATTTAAGGGTAGGGCTTATAGAACTGTAGGTTTCAATATATGACATAGGTATTTGAAACCCTCACCAAAAAACATTAGAGGAAGTAACTCTGTCATCATTTTAAGTTTCTTTTTTTTTTTTTTAGTAATTTAAAATCTTAAAGTCTGGTTATGTTAAATTAAGTAATCTTAAGTTTCTCACTAAAAATTAGTATTGCTAAGCATTAAAAGAATAGTTTTAAGACAGTTTTTACCCCAGCACTAGTGATTGGATAATACGGCCCCAGGCCCCACCCCTTCAGGTTCTGAATGAGAGAAGATGTGAGCCAACTCGTAGCCAGATGACAACAGGGTAAAATGTTCCAAGCCGCAGCCTTTTTCAGGCAGGACTTCCTCCTTATGCTGAAGCCCGGCCTTCACTGTGGGATATTTGCATTTAACCTTGTATATAAGGTTATTTTTATTTATAAGTTGTATATATGTGGCCAGGCATAGTGGATCTCACCTTTAATACCAGCACTTTGGTAGGCTGAGGGGACAGAAGCTCTTGAATCCAGGCGTTTGGGACCAGCCTGGGCAACAGAATGTGAGGGCCCCACATCAAAACTTTTCTACAAAAAAATGAAAAAATTAGCCAGGCATGGTCACACGTGTCTGTGGTCCCAGCTACTTGGGAGGCAGAGGTGGGAGGGTCACTTAAGCCTGGGAGGTAGAGGCTGCAGTGAGCTGAGATCAGGCCACTGCACTGCAGCCTGGGTGACAGAACAAGATTCTCTCTTTCTTTCTCTGCCTTATTTGTGTGTGTGTGAAGGGGGAGGGGTGTGTGTGTGTATTATTCAAAATAGAAACAAAATAATAACAATTATTTTTATTTTTATTTACATTTTTTTGAGACAGAGTCTCACTCTGTCACCCAGGCTCGAGTACAGTGATGAGATATTGGCTCACTGCAACCTCCGCCTGCCAGGTTCAAGTGATTCTTCTGCCTCACCCTCCCAGGTAGCTGGGATACAGGCACCCACCATGTTGCCCAGCTAATTTTTGTAGTTTTAGTAGAGACATGGTTTCACCATGTTGACCAGGCTGGTTTCGAACCGAGGTCAAGTGATCCGCCTGCCTCGGCCTCCCAAAGTGCTAGCATAACAGGCATGAGCCACCATGCCCAACCAATTACAATTATTTTTAATTTTTAGATTTTACAATCTTTCTGGCCTCTTGGCTTTTGAGGCAAACTGAGCTTTGAAATTAGGCAATCCTCTATTGCACCAATGTGCAATAGAAGTAAAATGTGAGCCACATGTGACAATTAGAATTTGCTAGTAGCAGCATAAAGAAAAAGAAAAATGAGTGAAATTGATGTTAACAACATAGCTCAATATATCTGAAATATTTTAACATATAATCAGAATGAAATAATTAAAGAAACATATATATGTGTACATATATACGTACACACACATAGACATATGTTTCTTTAACCCAGCATTATATATTTTTATGCACATATGTATATGTAACTAAATATTTAAATATTTTCTTGTATTTCTCCCCAGCATATCTTAGTTCATGCTGGGCACAATACAGTTGTTCAGTAGCCCCTGTGCCCAGTGGCTGCCACATTGCAAGTGCATCTCTGAGGGCTCTGACTTTTCTGACCTTAGGGAGGTTAAAGGGCCTGAATCCTCCTTTTCTGCCAGATAGGAGTGAATGCCCCTTCTCTGCCAATATCACTCCTGTTTAAAGGATAAGAGAGGTGGTGCCCTGAGAGACAGTAGGGCCTACAAGAAACAAGTGTTCACAGGTGGAACACTGCTGTCCACTTTTGCTTGGTGTGGACTCATCAAACCTCCAGAGATCATACAGCAGTCCAAAAAGTGGGGCCCCAGAAGAGGGAAACCTCATGTTTTTAGATCTGTCCATAGGCTTGATCTGATGTGGAGAGACTAGATTAAAGGCAAACTTTTTATCTTGCAACTTGGCCTTGGCAAATTAAATAGAAATATGTCACTATAAAAATCAATTAAATAAAAAGGAAGGCAGTAAGAGCAGAAAAGAGGAGAAAATACCTACAAGAAACAAATAGAACTATTAACAAAATGGAAGTAGTCCATTCTTTTCACAATTAAAATGAATATATACATAGAGTAAAATTTCCAACAGAAATGTGTAAATTGGCTAAAGAGATTGAAAGAAAAAACGATTTGTTTTCTGCTGTCTATAAGAAACTCACTTTAGATCTAAGCACACAGATAGGCTAAAAGTGCAAGTATGAAAAATATCTTCTAGGAAGATTGCAATCAAATGAGAGCAAGAGGGGTCATAATTATGCAAAATACACATTAAGTCAAAACTGAATTAAAGGACAAATAAAGATAGTATATAATGATACAAGTGTTGATTCACTGGGGAAGCTGTGTTAATAATAAATATATGTACACTTCACATCGGGGTTTCCAAATGTATAAAGCTAAGATCGACCCAGATGAAGAAAGAAATAGCTATGCAAAAATAGTAAGAGACATAATTATCCGACTATCAGTAGCAAACTCTGTAAACCGAACAGACATATAGAAAACACTCATCACAGTGAATAGATTCAGGAAGCTGAAGGCCCATGGGACATGACCAACTCAGCATTCCACTGGAGGCTATATGATCAAACAGCAAACTGTTTATCATGAATGCAGGATGTGGGCAAACTCACACTGCCCTGCCACCAAAAGGTTTGCTGAGGGCCTCATTCCCTGGCACCAGGCTCCTTGAAGTTATCTACTGAGAAATCCAGTGCCTATTGTTCTAAGAATGCAGTCTCTCGAGTCAGCTGTGAATCAAGCTGCTGGTGGAAAACCACCCCCGCCTTCTCACTATCTCTTTTACCTAATAAATATGGAGGGCTGTGTAAAGCTCAGGTACCTTGTCCACTAGAGGCAAGGTGCCCCTGACCCCTTTTTCCAAATATACCCCTTTGTCTCTTGTCTTTTATTCCTGCATTCACCCTGCTTTGTTCAGTCCAATAGGTCTGTGTAGGCTACAAATAGAAGTGAAAAAAAAGAAAAAAAAAAACACTTCACACAACAATATCAGAATACACACTTTTTCCAATAGGTCATGAAACATTCTCCTGAGTAGATAACCTACTAGGACACAAAACAAGTTTTACCAAATTTTAAAATGTTAAAATATGGGCTAGGCATTGTGGCTCATTCTTATAATTCCAGCATTTTGGGAGGCTGAGGTGGGAGGATTAGTGAGTTTAGGAGTTCGGCGCCAGCCTGGGCAACATAAAGAGACCCTCTCTTTAGAAAATATAAAATTTAAAAATTAGCTGGGCATAATGGCACATGCCTGTGCGTCCAGCTACTCAGGAGGCTGACGGGGGAGGATTGCTTGAGCCTGGGAGATCGAGGCTCTGGTTAGCCATGATTGAGCCGCTGTGCTCCAGCCTGAGCAACAGAGCAAAACTCTGTTTCAAAAAAAAGATTAAAATATTACAATCATTTTTTATTACAAGGGAATAAAATTAGAAATCAATAGCAGAAGAAATATGGAAAATCTACAAATATGTGGAAATTAAACAACGCACTCTTCTGCATGCTCTCGTTCAAGGGTTGGAAGACAATATTGTGAAGATGTCCACACTACCCAAAATGATCTACAGATTCAATGAGATCTCTATCAAATTTTAACTGTCATTTCACTTGGCAGAAATACAAAAAACATTTCTAAAACTTATATGGAATCTAAAGTGACTCTCAGGAGCCAAACAACCTTCAAAAAAAGAAATAATATTGGAGGCATCACACTCCTTGACTTTATAATGTATTACAAAATTACAGTAACCAAACTATTTAGTACTGACATAAAGGCAGACACACAGACAAATGGAACAGAATAGAGCACAGAAATAAACTGTCATATATATGGCCAAATGAAGAGTTATTTGTATATCCATATTCATTGCACAACATTATTCACAACAGCTGATAGGTGGAAGCAACCCAAATGTCCCTCAATGAATCAGTGAATAAAGACAAATTGGAATATACAAATAATGGAATATTATCCAGTTTTTTAAAAGCAGGAGATCTGATTATTTTTACACTAAGGATAAATCTGGAGGACATTATGTAAATAAAATAAATGAGTCATAAAAGGACACTGTGTGATTCCAGTTAAATATCTAAAATAGTTAAACTCTTAGAAACAGAAAGTAGAATAGTATCAGTCAGAGCCTCAGGGGAGGAGATAAAAGGGTAGTTGTTGTTTCATGGCTATTGAATTTTAGTTTTGCAACATAAAAACATTCTAGAGATATGTTGCATAACAATGTGAATATATTTAATATTATTTAACTATGTACTTAAAATATTTAAGATGGTAAATTTTATGTGGTTTTGACTACATTAATAGTGAAAAACTTTCTAAAGAGATACATATTTATCAATCTTTTCAAAAATTACCTTCAAATCCTAAAAATATCAGAAAAACAATAAAGAGGCCAGGTGCAGTGGCTCATCCATGTAATTGAAACACATCAGGAGGCTGAGGAGGGAGAATAGCTTAAGCCCAAAAGTTGGAGACCAGCATGGGCAGCGTAAAAAGACCTCAGCTGCAAATCACAAGCAGAAGGAAACTGGCAAATGAAAAAATATGTGAAACTTAAAACAGAACACTCTTGACTTCTTGTTCAAGGGTCAGAAAATTTAATATTATTAAGATGTCAATACTACTCACAGTGAAGCACAAATTCAAAGTATTTTCTATCAAAATCCCAATGTTACATTTTTTTCAGAAATATTAAGTCTTAAAATTCATATGGAATCTCAAGGGACAATGAGTAGCCAAAGTAGCTGTGGAGAAGAACAAAGTTAGAGGTATCACACTTCCTGATTCCAAAATATATTATAAAGCTATAGCAATACAAACAGAAAGACAAATAGATGATGGAACAGAATAGAGAACCCAGAAATAAACCTTTATGAATATCATCAAATAATCTTCAATCAGGCTGCCATGACCGAACAACAGGGAAGAACAGAATAGTGTTCTAAAATTGAGTATCAAAATGGAAGAAAATAAAATTGGACTTTTCACTTGCACCATATAGAAAACTATCTTAAACACTTAAATGTAAGTAAGATCGCTATAAAAGTCTTAAAATATAAGGTAAAAATCATGACATTTGTCTTGATAATTTTTTTAACATGACATTAAAAGCAGAAGTAACAAGAAAAAAGCAGGAAAATGGGACTACCTCAAATGTAGTAAGCTTTCTGATAAAGAGAAAACAGCTGGGCCTGGGGGACCACTACCACCAAGACGCAGAGACCAGTAGTGGCCCCGAATGGCTGGGCACGCTGATATTTATTGCATACAAGACAAGGGGGCAGGGTAAGGAGGGTGAGTCGTCCAGGTGATTGATAAAGTCAAGCAAGTCATGTGATCATGGGACAGGAGGCCCTTCCCTTTTAGGCAGCCAAAGCAGAGAGGGAAGGCAGCATACATCAGTGTTTTCTTCTATGCATTTATAAGAAAGATCAAAGACTTTAAGACTTTCACTATTCCTTCTACCGCTATCTACTAAGAACTTCAAAGAGGAACCAGGAGAATGGGAGGAACGTGAAAGTGGACAAGGAGCGTGACCACTGAAACACAGCACCACAAGGAGGGGTTTATGCCTCCGGATGACTACGGGCAGGCCTGGATAATATCCAGCCTCCCACAAGAAGCTGGTGGAGCAGAGTGTTCCCTGACTTCTCCAAGGAAAGGAGACTCCCTTTCATGGTCTGCTAAGTAACAGGTGCCTTCCCAGGCACTGGCATTACCGCTCGACCAAGGAGCCCTCAAGCGGCCCTTATGTGAGTGTGACAGAGGGCTCACCTCTTGCCTTCTAGGTCACTTCTCACAATGTCCCTTCAGCACCTGACCCTATACCCACCAGTTATTCCTTGGTTATATGAGTAATACAACAAAGAGTAATATTAAAAGCTAGTGATTAATAATGTTTATACTAATGATGGATAATGTCCATGATCATCTCTATATCTAATTTGTGTTATAACTATTCTTTATTCTAACTGTTTTCTTTATTATACTGCAACAGTTTTTACCTTCAGTCTCTTGCCTCGGCACCTAGGTAATCCTTCACACCCACATGTTTCTACAAAGGAGATATACAAACGGCCAAGAGGAATTTTAAAAGATGCTGCAAATCATGAATCTTTAGAGAAATGAAAAGCAAAACCCCAGTGAGATATTACCTCACATTCATTAGGATGGCCACTATCAAATAAGAGAAAATAACAAGTGTTTTCAAGGATGTAGAGAAATTGGTATATTTGTGCACTGGGTGGTGGAAAAAATAATCATGCAGCCATTATGAAAAATAGTACAGAGTTTCCTCAGATTATTAAAATTGGAATTATGATGTGGTCTGGCAATACCATTTCTAGATATCTATCTAAATGTGCAAAGCGGGACCTGAAAGAAACATTTACATACCCACGTTTATGACAGAATTATTCTAAAAATCCAAAAGGTAGAAGCTACTTGAATGTCCCTTGACAGATAAATAAGTAAATATGATATATACATACAATGAAATATGATTTTAAAAGGAAATCTTATCACATGCTGCAATGACAATAAACCTTTAGGGCATGATGTTAAGTGAAATGTGCCAGGAAACAAAGTGACAGTGATTGTGTGATTCCACTTATGAGATATCTTAAGTAGTCCAACTCACAGAAATGGAAAGTAAAATGTTAAGGGCTCAGGAGAGGGTAAAATGGGCAGTTGACGTATATGGGTATTGAGTTTTAGTTTTGCAATGGAAAAGCTCTAGAAGCCTGTTGCATAACAATGTGGATATATGTACCACTAATAAATTATGCAATTACAAATGTATAGACTGGTAAATTTTGTTGTGTTTTATTACAGTTAAAATATTGTAAAGTGATACATAAAAGAGATACCGAGTTACAAACTTTTTGGAAAATTACCTTCAAATTATAAATGTGTTTTCCTCACACAAAGAAAATATAGATTTGTTCAATAAATACGTGGGTAAGTTAAGACTACTTATATGACTACTGTCCTGAACAAGATAAAACAACTTTTGACACCAGCCAAGAAGAGAAATATGCAAGATAATTAAGAAGAAATAGACTATATTTATAGAGGCAAACAAACACACGATTTTATTGGTGGTAGATATGGCTGATTCATATTTTGATTAAACATCACATTGACTTAACATGTATATAGAGTTGCAGATTTACATCCAAAATCATAATACGTAGGTAAAACCAAACTCACAAAACACGAATGTCAAGGAACTTACCAAAAAAAAAAAAAATAGTAATATGAAATTTCAAAAAAGAATGAGAGAAACAACGAAAAAACTCCTATATAAAACATAGATTTACAACTAAGAAAGAATCCTCCTAGATAACTACAATCTTCAGCTGTGACTGTGCATCCGTGGTGAGCAGGGATTTTGAATCAAGACTGCGTTAGGAAGAGGCTCAAGGGGGCAGACAGTGCCACCTCCAGAGAAGCCACTGCTCCTACTCCTGCCTCTCCTGCTACTGCCGCCACGGTCCTCTGCTCCTGCAGCCCCCACTGGGCGCCGGATTCCTTCTTGGAGTGCGGAGGTCCTGTTCCTTCAGGAACGACAGACAGCTTTTCTCCCCGTCTCCTCGTTTGCTCAGCCGGCAGGTGCAGGACTGGAGATCTGAGGTGGTCCTGCGTCTCGAGGAGCCGGGCGCCCGACTGTGAGAAGGAGGAGGCAAGCTATGGGGAGAGGGGGCGACAGGAATGCCAGGCTCATGAGGCCGGCGGCCGCGGCCCAGGCAGGGCTGGCTGCTGCCTGGGCCGGATGGTAAGAGATACTGTGGAAAGAAAATAAAATAAAATAAGTAATAATAAAGTTTAAAATAATAAACCTAACATAGGTAATAGTTAACATTCAGCATAGGTTACTTAGAAGTTATACATAGGCTAAGAAATTTCAGCAGTCCATTCCAGCATTGCTAACAAGTTGCAGCTGCGAGCTTATCTCAATCTTCCAAGCTTATTGCCTGCCTCCAGACCCCCGCATATTCCTGTAATTCGTGTTTTCCCTTACCCCAGCTCTGTTCAGCTTCAAAGTTGACTGGACAAAATAACTAAATTGTAAGTTCTCTCCGAATTGTCACGGGTTGGATAATTTACTGTCTTTGTCTGAAACCTGTAACCTGCCTTGTTTTCCCGCCTCAAACGGCACTTAAGCAAGCCTGCTTTCTTTGCAGGGGTCGGCAGCCATTTTGGGCATGAGCCTGCTGTTGGCTCAGGTGCCTGAATTAAATAAAAGTTCTCTTTGGTCTCCAAAGGTCTCTTCGTGTTCCTTGGCTGGAGTTTTACTACAACAGTATCAGATGTCGCCACCATCCCCATCCTTGGCTCCCTAGCCGTCATTCATACATCCTGTGTTCAACAAACAGAAGTGGCAGCGGGAGCTGCTGCTCCGGGAGGGGGAGTGGCCTGGCAGGGGGCACACAGCTGCTACCTGCTGCGAGGCGAGTTGGTCTGCAGCCTGGGCCTTTGTGCAGGACACATCGCCGCCCTTGTCCCGCTTGCTCCCCCGCCTGCCACGCAACATGCTCAGGTGCCAGATCTCGGGCATTCCTGGCAAGCGTACTGTGGCGGGGAGGCAGCAGGGAGGAGGGGTTTGCCAGGAGCCCTGAACAGAGGTTCTTGGCATGGAGAAGAGACAGAGGTGGCTGACTGGTTCCAGTTTTAGGTGGGTGGGGGGAGGGGGTGGCAAACCCCATGGGACTTTGTTTTTTTCAAGGAGACTTCAGTTCACTTCTTATCTGTTCTCCACCCGCTTAAGCCTCTGAGAACAGAGGAGATGGGGCTCTTTTAAATTGGCCTGGCCGTAACGGTCTGGACCCTTGCCGCAGGGCAGATCTCATTTGGGGGCTCTTTGAAGCCTGGAGGCTCACGCCTGTCCATCCCAGGTGTCTTCAATATAGGGTCAAGTTAGGCCTGGCTGGCAATGATGCTGGAATGCAGGACGATCTGGCCAGATCTTCGCCTGTTACAGGATATTTTAGCCTTCAGCACCCTGCACCATTTCCCTCACCTGCAGAAGCCCCCGTGAGCCTCAGTGTTGCTAGGGCCCAGACCCTGGATGCCTCTCTATTAGAGTCCCACTTTACCCCACCTAAATGCACCAGGCCCTTACTCTGCCTTTCCCCTTTTCCCAGAACATGCCCCATTCAACTCCAACAGGACATGTCTGGACCACGTGCACCCCTCTTCAGTGTTAAAACAGAGAAAATAATGTATTTTTCACTGAACATGTAACTGATTTAACATATAAGGAGATCAGCTTTATGTGTAGATATGCATGTAAATATACACAAAATTTCTAACGTTGTGGGAAAATTAACATCTTTACACTTTGTTCAGTGATTTTATAGTTTTCTCTCTCTTACTCACTTGCTTCTTTTTTTTTTTTTTTTGAGACAGAGTCTTGCTCTGTTGCCCAAGCTGGAGTACAGTGGCAAAATATCAACACACTGCAGCCTCTGCCTCCTGGGTTCAGAAGATTCTCAGGCTTCAGCCACCCGAATATCTGGAATTACCAGCATGAGTAACCATGCCCAGCTGTTTTTTGTGTTTTTAGTGGAGACGGGGTTTTGACATGTTGCCCAGGCTGGTCTCGAACTCCTGGCCTCAACTGATTTGCCCACCTTGGTCTCACAAAATGCTGGGATTACTGGCGTGAGCCTCTATGCCTGGCCTACTTGTCACTATCTCTATGTTTATTTGTTCAATAGGAAAATTCTCAGTGAAGACTCCTCAGCATGATGAAGATAAGCTTGCACAATCAGTCATTGATAGATGCTTAGTGGAAAAACTTCCAATTCCCATTTGCAGCTCTCAGAGCTAGGATTAAAAACTCCTGGTCATAACCTCATGTGATGAGAAGTTATAGCATGCCCTCATTTTCTACATATCCACCTGCATTTACAATTAGCTTTCAAACTTGCTAGAAGGGAAAGAAGTGGGAATGTGTCCCCCTTAGAGCTACTTTCCTCCCCTTGCTGGGTTTCCAGTTTGTGCATTGTCCAGATGGCCCAGGAGCTTATGATCAAAGTGAAGAGGTCCTGTTTGTCATGAGAATGCTGCTTTGCTGCATCAGGATTCAGTGAAACTGTTCACCGCCTGGAGCCCATGTGGACTCCAGAGGCAGGATGAAGCTCAGAAACCGTCACTGAGGTTAGGAAGTGAGCACCAAAGTTGAGGGCTGCCCACAGGAGAGGGCCAAAATGCTCCCTTTGGATTTCCAAGTGGTTGCTTCTTGCATCAGTCTTGCTTCTGACCACACTGTGTTCCTGGTCCCGTCTTCCTGGCATTTTGCTGTTTGTGTCCAAGGGAAAGAGTCCTGGATGGCAGTGCTGAGAAGGATGCCTGCCTGCTAAAGCTGATCCCCTGGTGAGCTCTGCAGCCTGTTAAGCAGAGCCTGAAATTCTTTCTCACTGAGTGGTGATTCAGACCACGGAGGGCCCTCCTCTTGTGGATCTGCATTCCGAAAAGATTGTGCCTTTTCCTGAAACTCTGGGACTTGTAGAAGATCATGCAGATGACTGGTGTGGTTGCTCCAGCAGATAGATGGCTCTTTCATGGCTTGTGCCTGTTTCTGCCACAGGTAGACCTATGTGCATGGGCTACTAAGGTGCTCCTGCTCCAGGTTGCCATTGAATCATGGCATCCTGGGACCCGTTGCCTAAGCTCCACCACTTCTGAAGGTGGGATGTGTCCTGTTGACCCAGACTCTAAAATTGTGGCTAAGGATGACCAGGCTGTGGCTGTCCCTTTAAGGCAGAACTTCCAGGCCAGTGTCTTATTTTTCTTGTCATCCTAAAGTTTTCCTTTCGACTGAGGCCAGAAACAAGTCTGTGTATGGGAGAGCCTCCCTCCTAGAGTTGGTACCATTGACATATGACTCCTAAGTGCCAGAAGAGGTTGAGAGAACTCTCCCATCTGCACAGCCAGGGTGCTATGTGCATCGTGACCCTTGGTGCCTGGCTCACACAGCCTGCAGAGGGATCCAAAAAATCACAGGTTGTGGGAGGTGAAGGAAGAGCTGGTACAAATGACAGGTGGCTGCTGACAGAATAGGAGGCAGGAAGAAGATGAGACCTGCCTGGGGTAGTGCACATGTTTTGTTCCAGCCAAACAGTCAGATGAGGTCTTGGTCTTGGACCCGCTGCCAGGGAATTCACAAGCCCGCTTCTGCTGTGGCCTGGGAGCTGAGGTCTTTGGTTCTGAAACCAAATGTAAATTTTGGACTCTGAAATGCCTGTCTGTTTAGCCAGTTTCTCTATAATGGTGATTCCAGGAAAGGAATTCTCTTGGAAAATGTTGAGGGTCCTTCTCAAAGGCTTTAATGAGTACACTGGTGTGTGATTGAGTGATGGATGTCCTTTCCTCCTGCCTTCTTATTTGACTTGCACAATAAATATTAACTATGGCAGTTACGGTCATATCTTTCTTTACAACATAAGAAACTTCAAGTCATTCATTGATGACACCAAAGCCTCATTCTCCTACATTAAACATTCTCCTACATTAAACTTCTTGAATCTTCTGTGCCAACTGTCTAGAAAACCTAAACACATGAAATACTACAAATTAGAAATAAATACCTCAATAGGCACCAATTATAAAAGCAAATCCAAGAAGGAACAGAATATATGAATACACATATAACAAGTAAAGAGATTCAATTAATTAAAAATCTTCACAAAAAGAGAAGCCCAGAGCCACATGGCTTAACTGGTAAATTCTACTAAACATTTAATGAAGAATTAATGCCAACTCTTTACAAGACCTTCCAGAAAATATGGGACAGTTATTGGGAACACTTCCCAATTTGTTCTGTGAGGCCAGTATTACCCTGATACTAAAGGCAGACAAAAGCATCAGAAGTAAATATGTGTATGGATGAATTTCCCTGATGAATACACACAGAGAAATTCTCAAAAAAGCGAAATGAATCAAGAATATATCAAAATGAATGTACACCATGACCAAATGGAATTATTTTACAGATGCAATATTGATCTATCCGATAATCAATCAGTGCCTTACACAAAGTAATAGGATAAAGGAAATTAACAGAAAGAGCCTTTCAACAGACACAGGGAGCATTTGACCAATCCAATATTCATTCACAATCTCCCTGGAAAGGAAGGGTACAAGCAAACTTCCTAAATCTGCTAAAGAGCATCAGTGAAAAACTTACACCTAACGCCATAATAGTAAAATACTGGTTGTTGTGTCTTGACATTTTAGAACAAGGCAAAAATGTTAACATCCAAAGAAATTACATGAGAGAAAAAAACAAAATCATCAATGTGGGAAAATAAGATGTTAGAATTGTCTATCATTGCAGAGGACATAAGTGAATATAAAAGTTTATAAAAAACTCATTAAAACCCACTAAAACCAATACATGAGTTCAGCAAGGTCACAAGATACAAAATCAATATGCAAAGTTCAATTGTACTTTTATGTACTAACAATGATCAACCTGAAAATAAAATTAAAAAAACAATCCATTTGTGTATGTATGAAAAAGAAAGAAATATTTAGGAGTAGATTTAATGAAGTGCAATTTTACCGTAAAAAGAAATCTTTGTTAAAAAATTTTAAAACACTGAAAAAAATAGGCATCAATGTTTATTTAGTTAATGTTATTCCATTATCCAGTGTATCCATTTAAACTCCACACAATAAAACAAAATATATTTTAGCATTATTTTAGTGTAATAAATACAGGTTTGTAGAAAACCCATGAAAGGAACTAATTCTACATGTCCAGAATAGCCCATCCTAATTTTTCTATTTTACATCTACTGTAAATCAAACCGATTTTGTTCCATATTTTATAGCGGAACGTAAGATAAAATCCAAATTGTTAAATATGTGAGATTGATTATAAGCCCACCAAGGAGGTTTTTACTCAGTGTGGGAATTCAGAGAGCATGAAGTTGCAAAGACAGAAGCAAATGTTTTTGAATGAATTATGAGGGACAATACTCACAGGAGTGCTTCACACTTTTATCAACTGACTCATGTCATCTCACTTTAGGAGAAACTGCCTCTAATTTTAGACATTGGTTCGTAGCAAATGCTAAATGAACCAGCACCAAGTTTATATCCAGGAGAACTGCTTACTCTAGAGGATTTTGTCTCTTGGATAATGACATGATTCTGTCTTTCATAGGCTACTCCAAAACTTCTATAATGATGGTAGAGTTTAGTGAAGTGGAGCATCGGCATGCCATCCCCATGCTCCTGACAAGCAGCAGCAGCTAACCTAAGCACAGTCACATAGGGCATGCCATTGACACCCACCTTGCTGTTGTTCACCTCCACATACTAAGTTGCCATACACTTTGCAGTGGAATTTCACCTTACTGCATCTGGTTGGTCAGCAGTCCTGCAGGTAGAAAGAGTTGGTCAGGAGGGCACATTGAGAGAATAGATGGGAGCTCAGAGGCTGCCTAGCTCCCTGCACCCTGCCCACAGGCCACAGTCCTCACCCAGCTGTCCAGCATGCATGACTGCTGAAGGCTGCTGCACTTGTTCTTCATCACAGAGGTGGGATGAAAGCAGTCTGAGGGCACCACACTCCATGATCAGGGTCTACTTCTGGTGCCATAGCTCCAGGTGGAAGGACAGGTAAGCAAAAGACAGGTCCCACCTTCCACATCCAGCCCACACTCCCACCAACTTCCAGGCCCACCTCAATATCCTGATGTGATGCTCTCCTTAGACCTCTTGTGGTTCTTCAGCCAGGAGATGGAGAGAGTGGGGTTGCTAGGAGCCAGGCAGTGAAAGTTGGTTGTGGTGGCCAGCATGGCTGGCAGTTTCCTGTCCATCCACTGGGGCAAAGTCCAGGAAGGGGTCTCTGCTGGTGGAAGCACACATGAAGGCCATAGCTGAGGCGAGGAACAGAGACCCATCTGACCAGACCCCCGATTCAAGATCACCCTGCCCACTCCGAGTCTCATGTTTTTCTCCTGTGTAGGGAGAGTGTTGACATGTCAAGGACATCTACTTGGGCTGAATGAGGCTCCCAGGAGCTTCAACACAATGTCCCCACCCAGTCATGCTCAGAGCTGGCAATGTGTGCCTTTCTATTCCCTCTGCTTCCCCCAAGTGGCTGCTCCTGCTGAGAGGCTGGGGTTCTTCATCCTGGCCTGAAAGCCTCAAAGAATAATGGAGTCTCGAGGGGATACCCCACCTGCACAGGGAGGCACATGGGGAGGGCCCACCAGGAAGGAGGCCCAGCAGGTAGCCCAGCTAAGTGAGTGAGTCAGGACAGGCATTGGGAGCAGTTTACCAGGAGAAGAAACCCAGCCCCTTGCAGAGCTGGGAGCCTCAGAAGCAGCTGAGAAGCCTTGGTCCACAAGCCTCTGAGCCCATAAGCCACCCCCTGCAGAGCTTCAGGGCCCGGTGGGCACTGGTGAGGATGGCGGCCTGGAGGCTTCGTCTCTTTTTTATCCTGACTTCCAGGGCTGTCACCATTCCCCCTCTCACACCTCAGCTAGTTTTTCTAATTTCTGGGTGCTGGGGTGGGGCTGCCTTCCTGCCTGGACTTGTGGGTAGGCTCAACTGCCTTACCCCCAGGAGAGAGGCACCAGGGGCCCAGGAAAGAGAAAGGAGGCAGCCGCTTCCCCACAGTGACCTCCTTGCCATTCACATGCAGCGACAGGCCCACCTTTCGGTGGAGGATGCTGAAGCACAGCCGGGAGCTGTGTAGAGAGACGCTGGGAAGAGGCACCAATCACAACTCTGAGCTGTCCTCTGGGATTCCAGGGGTGGGAGATGGGGACCCACTGGTGATTAAGACAGCTCAGCAAACTGTGGCACAGGATGTTCCCAGGACTGGGAGACAACAGTGACTCAATGCTGCTCACTTCTAGACTGTGCCTTCTTAAAGTGGCTCTTCAGTTACCCCCAGAGCTTGAGCCCACACCATCCTGGGATGGCTGGGTAGGCAGAGGTGAGCAGGGGCTCAGGGGGAGTGCACAAGGGTGTGTGGGCAGGGGCAGAGGCTGCTGAGGCAGGTGAGGGGAAATTTTCATCCTTTCCTGTCTGCTCCTCCCGGGGTCTACTTTCCTCTCTTCCCTCTGCCTCTGGCTCCCTGGCTGGCTCCTCCTCACTTTCTTTCCTGCTCACTCCAGAGGTCTCAGGGGCTCAGCCCACCACCAGTGGTCCCCAAGTTGCAGCTGCCTCTCCCATGCCTATCCCATGAGGACCCTCATCTGCCTGAGCACATCTCTGGGCTCCTCTGAAACCAGAAGCCCCATCTTCCTGACAGACCCCTCCACAACTGGGCAGAGTTCACCTGCCACTGTTCCAGGCCAGAATGACTGGGAATTGTTCCGCTGCTGCTGTTTCACACCCACAGCCAATCCCCCACAAATGCTGTTGGCATCACTTTTACAACCCTCATGGCCACCCTGCCCTCCTGCTGGGCTGTAGCTTTTGTCCCCTCCATCCATCTGCCCCTTGGCAGCCACCTGAGCCCCCAAGCACTGCTGTGCTCACACCTACAGTAGCCACCTCACCCAGAGCCAACATCAAAGTCCCCACAGGCCAATCCTGGCCTCCTCACTGCTCCTGGAACCCCAGGACCCTGTGCCCCAGTCTCCCCATCTGCAGCATGTGTGTCTCCTCTGACCCCCAGCCTGCCCCACAGAGCCCAAGACATCCAGAGCCATCTAATAGATATGTAATACATATCAATTACATAATAATTCATGATACATCATATTATATACAAAGTACGATGTCATAATGTACTGTGATGCCATAATACATATGAAGTATAATGTCATAATATATTGTGATGTCATAACACATACTGATGATGGTGTCACAATATACTGTGACGTGATAATGCCTATGAATTTTGATGTCATAATACATGTGCATTATGATGTCATGATATATTGTGATGTTGTAGTATAAATTATGATGCCATAATATATTATGATGTCATGTTGTGTGTGCATTATGATGTCATAATATATTGTGATGTCATAATACATATGAATTATGATATCATAATATGTTGTAATGTCATAATATATTTATTTATCACATTAATGGTATAATAACATAAACTTTGTCAGGTAATTTTACAAGAAAATTCAGTGAAATTTTGTAACAATATTAACATCTAAAGTAGCTTATAATCATGATGAAAAATGAAAGAGCTGCAGGAATCTCACATGGTAGGAGTTGAAACAGGAAAGATCAGGGAGGGGTATGCTTCACTTTTAAACCACCACATCTCGTGAGTACTCACTATGACAAGGACAGCACAGAGCCATGAGAAATCTATCCCCATGATTCAACCATCTACCACCATGCCCCACCTGTAACATTAGGGATTAAAATTCAATATGAGATTTGGAGGAGACATCTAAACTATATTATATGACCATTAGTGTGGGCGAAAGGTCACCAAGGTGCCAAGGCAAGAGACTGAAACAAACTGTTTCAGTATAATAAAGAAAATTGTTAGAATAGAATAGTCATAATACAAATTAGATATAGAGATGATCATGGGCAATTATCAATCATTATTATAAACATTATTAATCATTAGCTTTTAATATTACTCTTTATTGCATTGCTAATATAACCTAGGAATAACCGGCGGGTATAGGGTCAGGTGCTGAAGGGACATTGTGAGAAGTGACCTAGAAGGCAAGAGGTGAGCCTTCTCTCACGCCCCCATAAGGGCCGCTTGAGGGCTCCTTGGTCAAGTGGTAATGCCAGTGTCTGGGAAGACACTCATTACTTAGCAGACCATGAAAGGGAGTCTCCTTTCCTTGGAGGAGTCAGGGAACACTCTGCTCCACCAGCTTCTTGTGAGAGGTTGGATAAATTATCCAGGCCTTCCCACAGTCATCCAGAGGCCTAAACCCCTCCCTGTGGTGCTGTGCTTCAATGGTCACACTCCTTGTCCACTTTCATGTTCTTCCCATACTCCTGGTTCCTCTTTGAAGTCTATAGTAGATAATGGTAGAAGGAAGTCTTAAAGTCTTTGTTCTTTCTTATAAGTGCATAGAAGGAAACGCTGACATATGCTTCCTTCTCTCTGTCTGCTTCGGCTACCTAAGAGGGAAGGGCTCCCTGTCCTGTGATCACATGACTTGCTTCACCTTGTCAATCACTTAGAAGATTCACCCTCCTTACGCTGCCCCCTTGTCTTGTATGCAATAAATATCAGCCCGTCCAGCTGTTCGGGGTCACTAGTGGTCTCTGCGTCTTGGTGGTAGTGGTCCCCCGGGCCCAGCTGCTTTCTCTTTATGTCTTTGTCTTGTGTCTTTATTTATTATAATCTCTCGTCTCCGCACACAGGGAGAACACCTGCTAAACCCCGTAGGGCTGGACACTACACATTAGAAAAACAGATGAGGCTGGATACGGTGGCTCATGCCTGTAATCCTAGCACTTTGGGAGGCCGAGGCGGGTGGATCACAAGGTCAAGAGATTGAGGCCATCCCGGCTAACAGAGTGAAACATGGTCTCTACTAAAAATACAAAAAATTAGCCAGGCATAGTGGCACACACCTGGAGTCACAGATACTCGGGAGACTGAGGCAGGAGAATCACTTAAACCCAGGAAGCAAAGATGTAAGCTGCACTCCAGCCTGGGCAACAGAGTAACAGAGCAACAGAGCAACCAGCACTCCAGCCTTGGCAACAGAGCAAGACTCCGTCTCAAAAAGAAAAGAAAAGAAAAGAAAAACAGATGAAACATTCATGGTTTCTACAGATACTTTCATTCCAGAGTAAACGGATACACGATTGAATTCTGTGGTTAGAAGAGAAAAGGGAGGTGTACGGGGGACTTTGGCTGCATTTGTTCTACTTCCCTTATGCTGTTGTTGTGAGTTCTGATGTCACCACCTGAAGGGCTCTTCATAGACAGAAGAATTATGGCTATTGTTGTGATTATTCCTTTTTCTTTTACCTTAGTAAAAATAAATTTTTTAGCTTCTCATATAATTTTTTAAAAAACCCTAAGAGATTTAGTCAAATTCCTTGTTATTGTATGGTATAAAAATTGACAGGGAAATGGCTAAAATATATTAAAATTACACAAACTCTAGGAGTCAAGTTTCTATTGGGCAGTATTAGGAAAGACAGAACTGGAAACACTCCACCATAATAGACATCGAAGGGGGCCAGCCCCTCCACACTTGTGGGTATTTCTCGTCAGGTGGGAGGAGAGACTGAGAAAAGAAATAAGACACTGAAACAAAGTATAGAGAAAGAACAGTGGACCCAGGGGACCGGTGCTCAGCATACAGAGGACTCGCACCAGCGCTGGCCTCTGAGTTCCCTCAGTATTTATTGATCATTATTTTTACTATGTTAGTGATGGGAGTGTAGCAGGGCAACAGGTGGGGAAAGGTCAGCAGGGAAATATGTGAGCAAAGGAATCTGTATCATGAATAAGTTCAAGGAAAGGTACTGTGCCCAGATGTGCACATAGGCTAGATTTATGTTCCTCTTTACACAAACATCTCAGTTTAGCAAAGAGTAACAGAGCAGTATTGCTGCCAGCATATCTCACCTCTAGCCACAGGGTGGTTTTCTCCTATCTCAGAATAGAATGAATAGGAATGGTCAGCTTTACACTGAGACATTCCATTCCCAGGGATGAGCAGGAGACCAAAGCATTCCTCTTATCTCAACCGCAAAGAGACCTCCCTTACCATTTACCATGCCATCTCACTGCCTTGTCTGGTGATTTTGAGAACTCCTGTGTCCAGTTCAGAAGTCAGAGACTTCTATCCCATCTCAGTGGGGGCAAACCTTGGACAACACCCAGGCTTTCTTGGGCAGAGGTCCCTGAGGCTTTCTGCAGTGCATTGTGTCCCTGGTTAATTGAGAATGGAGAATGGCGGTTTCATTTTTCTTGTATGCAGGATGATTTTTAGGATTTTTTTTCTGTTATATTTTTTGCATTCTGGTTACCTAGAAGGTAGTGATTATTACCCCAAACCAGGGCTTGATATTGTGTTAGTCCACTTTCATACTGCTATGAAGAAATACCTGAAACTGGGTAATTTATAAAGAAAAAAAGGTTTAATGGACTCACAGTTCCACATGGCTGGGGAAGCCTCACAATCATGGCAGAAGGCAAAGGAGGAGCAAAGACATGTCTTACATGGTGGCAGGCAAGAGAGAGAGCATGTGCAGGGGAGCTCCCCTTTATAAAACCATCAGATCTTGTGAGACTTATTCTGTTTCACAAGAGCAGCACAGGGAAAAACCCATCCCCATGATTCAAGTTCCTCCAACTGGGTCCCTTCCATGACATATGGGGATTATGGGAGCTACAATTCAAGATGAGATTTGGGTAGGGACATGGCCAAACCATATCATTCTTCCCCTGGCACCTCCTGAATCTCATGTTCTCACATTTCAAAATCAATCATGCCTTCCCAACAGTCCCCCAAAGTTTTAACTCATTTCAGCATTAACTGAAAAGTCCATAGTCCAAAGTCTCATCTGAGACAAGTCCCTTCCACCTATGAGCCTGTAAAACTAAGAGCAAGTTGGTCACTTCCTACATACAATGGGGGTACAGGTATTGGGTACCCCCAATGTATTTACACCTGTTCCAAATGGGAGACATTGGTCAAAACAAAGGGGCTACAGGCTCCATGCAAGTCTGAAATCCAACAGGGCAGTCATTAAACATTAAAGTTCCAAAATGATCTCCTTTGACTCCATGTCTCACATGCAGGTCACACTGACACAAATGGTGGTCTCCCATGGCCTTAGGCAGCTCTGCCTCTGTGGCTTTGTAGGGCACAGCCTCCCTCTTGGCTGCTTTCACTAGCTGGCATTTTGTATGGCTTTTCCAGGTACACAGTGTAAACTGTTGGTGGATCTACCATTCTGGGGTCTGGAGGATGGTGTAACTACCATTCTGGGGTCTGGAGGATGGTGGCCCTCTTCTCACAGCTCTTCTAGGCAGTGCCCCAGTAGGGACTCTGTATGGGGGACAGAGCCCACATTTCACACCTCTACTACCCTAAAAGAAGTTGTTCATGAGCCCCTGCGCCCGCCCCTGCCCCCCGCCCTGCCAAAGCAAACTTCTGCCTGGACATGCAGGTGTTTCCATACATTCTCTGAAATGTAGGTGGAGGGTCCCAAACCTGAATTCTTGACTTCTGTGCATCTGCAGGCTCCACAGCTTGTGGAAGCTGCCAAGGCTTGCGACTTGCAACCTCCGAAGACATGGCCTGAGCTGTACCATGGTGTCTCCCACCCAAGCCATGGCTGGAGTGGCTGGAATGCAGGGCATCACGTCTCTAGGCTGCACACAGCAGGGGGACCTGGCCCTGCTCCAGGAAATGATTTTTCCATACTAGGCTTTTGAGCCTGTGGTGGAAAGAGCTGCTGTGAAGATGTGAAGGTCTTTCATGTCCTGGAGACATTTTCCCCATTGTCTTGGTGATTAACATTTGGCTCCTCGTTACTTATGCGAATTTCTGCAGGAGGCTTTAATGAAAGTCGGTTTTTCTTTTTTCTTTTCTTTTTTTTTTTTTTTCGTTGACGGAGTCTCACTCTGTTGCCCAGGCTGGAGTGCAGTGGCGCAATCTCGACTCACTGCAACTTCTGCCTCCTGGGTTCAAGCAATTCTCCTGCCTCAGCCTCTCGAGTAGCTGGGACTACAGGTGCACGTCACCACACCTGGCTAATTGTTTGCATTTTAGTAAAGATGAGGTTTCACCATGTTGCTCCAGCTGGTCTCGAACTCCTGAGCTCAGGCAATCCGCCCGCCTCAGCCTCCCAAAGTGCTAGGATTACAGGCGTGAGCCACTGCGCCCGGCCAAGGGTTTTTCTTTTCTATTGCATTATCAGGCTGCAAATTTTCCAAACTTTTATGCTCTACTTCCTCTTGAACACTTTCCCACTTAGAAATTTCTTTCACCAGATACCTTAAATCATCTCTCTCAAGTTCAAAGTTCCATAGATCTCTGGAGCAGAAGCAAAATGCCACTAGTCTTTTTTGCTAAAGCTTAACAAGAGTCACCTTTGCTCTAGTTCCCAACAAGATCCTCATCTCCATCTCCGGCCCAGATATTAGGGTTTATATCACTATCAGCATTTGGGTCAAAGCCATTCAACATGTCTAGGAAGTTCAAAAATTTCCCACATTGTCCTGTCTTCTGAGCCCTCCAAGTCTCTAGGAAGTTCCAAACTTTCCCACATTTTTCTGTCTTCTTCTGAGCCTTCCAAACTGTTCCAACCTCTGCTTGTTACCCAGCTCCAATGTCGCTTCCACATTTTTGGATATCTTAATAGCAGTACCCTACTCTGCCAGTACCAATTATTGTCTTAGTGTATTTTTATACTGCTATGAAGAAATATCCGAGACTGGGTAATTTACAAAGAAAAAGAGGTTTAATGGACGCACAGTTCCTGGTAGCTGGGGAGGTCTCACAATCACGGCCGAAGGCGAAGGAGGAGCAAAGGCATGTCTCATATGGTGGCAGGCAAGAGTGTGTTCAGGGGAACTTCCCTTTCTGCCCCGTATAAAACCATCAGATCTTGTGAAACTTACTCACTATCACAAGAACAGCACATAGAAAAACCCAGCCTGATGATTCAATTACCTCCACTTGGGCCCTCCCAGGACACATGGAGATCATGGGAACTACAATTCAAGATTAAATTTGGGTAGGGACACAGCAAAACCATATCATTAATATCTAACAGGAAATGATCATTTTTTAAATGATTCTTCTACCTTTGAGAAATTGGCTAAGGCCCTTTCTCTGATCTGCAGGGAATGCACAGCTCCTCTCAGTAGTGAGCAAGTATTTATTGGAATAGCTCAGCTAAGCTAAAGTGGAGACCTCTAGTATTTTGTTTGGCTTGTCGTACAAGACATACACAATACCTAGCATGCACGGATAATGCAGCGTGCTGGTGGTGGCAAGAATGAGTGCTACTTTATAGATTATTGATGTTACTGCTTTCTGGGTAGAGGTTCTAAAGGAAGGCTGTATTTTACTTGAAAAATAATCTTCAACGGCCAGTTGGTATGATGCAAGTTGCTTATCAGTAGTTTCCTGTTTTGCTTTATAATCCCTCTCTACTGGCTCCCCAAACTTATTAAAATCCCATTGTATGAAATAACAATGTAACATAGGGAGGGAAGGAAAGAAAAGAGGCTGAGTTCATGCTTGGAGGGAAGCAAGAAGGGAGAGAACAATGCCAGCCAGGTCATGTGGCTAAGACCTGGGCCACTGGAGTTACAAATTGCTAGACTGGCAATTCTGCTGCCTCCCCTCCCAGGGCTTTTCTTGAGTGAACTGTGTGCCCAGGCCTGACAGGCACCTGACACATGGTTGGTTGGTTGGTTGGTTTTTATTGTATCCTCTATCTTTCTAGGAGCTTAGTATGTAAGATATGTGAGAGTGGCTAGGACCTGTCCCCTCAAAAAGTAAGAATGGAGCCGTAAAGGAGTAAGTGTCCATTTTCTGGGACACTCCGAGAGTCTGACTCAGGGACAGGCTGGGAAGAGGCAACTACCGTCTTACATGAGTTTTATATTGAGGAAATTCTTCCATTTCATAAAACAAAATATGGATGGGCCAGTTTAACTTAATTGTTCTTATAGTTAGTAAAAATTCCTTCTAGATTAGTCTGCATATTGGGTGTCAGTTTTACTAATTAGTGTTGTTTTAAGTTTACATTGTTTGCTTTGTTTTACTGATTTTTTTTTCTTTCTTTTTTAATAGGAACTTAGATGGGACTCCATTACAAAGGATCATCCAGATGCTGTTTAAAATTGGGCCAATTCAGCATTAAAATGAAATTACACATTCATGGGATTTGTTACGAGAGTCGGTACTGTTTTGGAGTGATTCATATAGCATTTATAAGGACCAACTCTGAGAGAGATAAATCATTGGTATAAATTATTTTTTAAGTTACTTTAGTATCAGTCATATATTCACTCACATAACAAATATGCATTGAGCTCATCTGGTCCAAGGAATTTGCCAAGCCCTGGAACTAGGGAATGATTTAAACAGACATACTACTTGACCTCAACAAATGTACAGTCAAGAAGGAAGTTATGAGCATTAAGCAAATGATTGCACTATTAATACTTAATTACAACAATGATAAGTGCATCCTGGAAAATAAATGTTATCAATCAATAGGTGCAAGGTGTCAACCTAAATAACGAACAGAGAGAGAGACTCTGTAAAGAACACTGGGTTGGGGATAGGGTATTTCAGTAGGAATACATGTGCCATAGTCAACTATGTATGCATTCAGGGAGGTAAAGGAAGACAAAGGTATTTAAAGAAAAAATGTGGAGGATTACACAATTGTTTTGACATAGTTATCCTTGATTACAAGGATCAATAACAAGGGTGGTGCCAGTCCAAGGTTGGACAGGCATTTGCTGGACATATGTCCTTGCAGAAGTGTTTTTTTACAAGGTTGCAATGGCAAGATTGTGGTTTTTGCAGTCTTTCGTGATAGTTCTTGTTATCAGGCATATGTGCGTGAGAATTCTCTTTTCATGGCCTTCTCCAGCTGCATTTGGCATGTTCTTCCTCCTCCTCCTCTTCTTTCTTCCCTCCTCCTCCTCCATCAAATACTTTAAAATATACAAATTTTTATTTTGTGATTCAACAGAACATAAAATGAGATTGTTGGACAGGACTTTAAGTTGGAATAGAGACAAGATTGAAACTGTGTTATGCTCAAATTCTAATGGCTTTTTAAAACAGTAATTACTACAGAGTTATTTTCATTAAGAAAAAGTTATTTAAAAATCTTTTCAAACTTCATATTTCTTCCACAGGCCCAGGAACACAGCTTGTTTGCTATTCAAAGTAGAAGTAAATATGGAGAGTGCTGTGTGTGTGTGTGTGTGTGTGTGTGTGTGTGTCTGTGTGTGTGTTTATTTTAAAAATTTATTTAGTTCTTATGTTAATATACCTTGCATTTAGGAATACTAACTAATTTGTTTGGTAAAGTCAAAAAGAAGAGCAGCCAGAGAGGTGTTCATAATGAAAGCTAGGAAAATCAGCTTTTGACTCATTTGATAGCCTCCCACCCCTGATTCAAAAATACATGGACCACATATCAAGGCCACTCAACTCATAGAGCGTTGGTGATGGGCCTGACTTAAAGTCTGAAAATTGCATATGTAAAACCATGTTCTCTATAAAAATACACACATTTGCCAAAGTCAGGAAAGGAAAAAAATTCCATTAAATCTAGGTTCAATAAGTGTATTAGAAAATATTTAATTAACTATCTCTGTTAAAACACATCTTGTGACTGCTGTTCCCTCTCTCATTGGTGTTTATTTGCTGGTAAAGTGCTCACTCATTTTTTTTTTTTTTTTTTTTCGAGACAGAGTCTCGCTCTTTCGCCCAGGCCTGAGTACAGTGCAGTGGCACTATCTCGGCTCGCTGCAAGCTCCGCCTCCCGGGTTCACGCCATTCTCCTGCGGCAGCCTTCCGAGTAGCTGGGACTACAGGCGCCCGCCACTGCGCCTGGCTAATTTTTTGTATTTTTAACAGAGACGGGGTTTCACCATTGTTGGCCAGGATGGTCTGGATCTCCTGACCTCGTGATCCGCCCTCCTCGGCCTCCCAAAGTTCTGGGATTACAGGCGTGAGCCACCGCGCCCGGCCTGTGCTCACGCATATTTGTTTGCTGTGTGGTGCAGTGCGACCGACCACACGGTTCTTCAGACACAACCTCTGCTTTCTCATTTACCTCAACACTTTAACCCTGAGATTCTTTTTTACTATACTTCAGTATATTTCCCAGAACATATATTGTCTATGAGGGATAAAATAAAATGTCAATTAAAAACAAAAAAATTCAGAGAAATATTAACCATTCACTCTTCTAAGTTCTCAAAGGTTACATTCTTCACCAAGTCATATAACCAGGTCCCAATAAAATACCATCATGGAGGCAATGTAACATCATGTAATTTAAAATACCATCATGCGGGCAGCTTTCAAAAGCATCCTGTAAGAAAAGGTCATTTGTACTTACATCTTTAAAAGTTTTGAAATTACTATTGAAGATTATTTTTATTGTATTGTCCATTGTCTGTTGCTTAAAGACTTATATATTTTGCTTAAGAGTTTAGAGTTACCAAAAAATAGCTGCTGACATATGCAGATACTATTTTATTAACTAACGACACCTATTTGAATTCTGGTTTTCCTTTTGGCCCTAAAGAACAAGAGGCTTAGGACTAAATTTTAGGCTGAAGGGTAGTGTTTCCTTCCCTAGGTTGTCCCATGTAATTGTCACCTCCTTCTCTTCATTATTCTGTCATTTTGCCCTTGTTTTATAGCGTCTGTGCCTTTCATTCTAAGCTGTCTCAGAGGCTTTTCTGGAAACACACAGTGTATAAGTACAAAATGATGAAATAAACATGCTTCTTTTTTTTTTTTCTTTTTTTTTAAGACGGAGTCTCCCTCTGTTGCCCAGACTGGAGTGCAGTGGCAGGATCTCGGCTCACTGCAAGCTCCACCTCCCGGGTTCACTCCATTCTCCTGCCTCAGCCTCCTGAGTAGCTGGGACTACAGGCACCTGCCACCATGTCCGGCTAATTTTTTGTATTTTTAGTAGAGAGGGGGTTTCACCGTGTTATCCAGGATGGTCTCGATCTCCTGACCTTGTGATCTGCCTGCCTTGGCCTCCCAAAGTGCTGGGATTACAGGTGTGAGCCACCGCACCAGGCCAACATACTTCTTTATTTTGTTTTAAAAGATACTTGAGTGGGACTAGATGACCTCTAAGGTCCTTTCCAGCTCTAAATTTACGTTACTGTCACCAAAGACAAAAAAAAAAAAATCTATTAGGTTATAGGTCTAGAGATGAGTGCCAAGTACTATATTCCTGCTCTAGGTGCATTTCTTGTTGAAGGCAGTGACCTGTTCGGCCGTTTACAGTCTTATGGTGATAAAACAAGAGAACTGATTGCTAAAAAAAAAAAAAATTCAGTTGAAATACCTTTTTACTCTTAAGCATCAACAAAAATAAATAGAAAACAGAAGAGTTGAATTATTTATTTTGAGCTATTTGTAATAAATTTGGACAACAAAGCTAAGCCTGAGTGTAGTTAATTTAATGAAATTAGTCATATTTGAATATCATCACAACCTTACTATCACATTAGCATTCAGTGTGATTAAAATTTATTCTTTGTTTCTTTGTGAGTCTCCACAGAATCAGCTATCAACAACTTCATAATAAACTAGCCCTTCATTGCTTTCAGGAAACTTTTAGATTCAGAGCAGGTGGTTGGACTTCTGCTTTCAAAGAGAACAAATCATTTTTTAAAGTGCCTTTCCTGTTTGTGTGTGTGAATTTAGAACACAGAAATTGTCCATTGCATTGTTTATTTTTGCTAGGAGGTAGAAGTTATCAAAAATACAGGAAATATTAGATATCACGTACTGATAATTTTCAAAGCTAATTATTTCTCTTAAGGCCAAGCTATAATTTAAGAGGTGTACTTGTGAAATATGAATATTGTTTTATAGTAATAGAATGTTTCTCACGGAAAAATAGAGTATGATTTTGTCGAAGTTCAAGGGAATATCCATTTTCATTTAGGTAGCTTCCAGATTTTTGTCTTTACATGTTCTGTGTAGTGATTTAAATACCGTACCTCCAAAATTTATGTCCACTAGTAACTTTAGAATGCGACTTTATTTGGAAGTAGGGTCTTTGCAGATATAATTAACCCAATGATTGAGATGAGGTCATCCTGGATGAAGGTGGGCCCTAAATCCAATGTAAATGTCCTTATAAGATACAAGAAAAGACACACGCAGAGAAGGTCATGTGAAGATGGAGACAGAAATTGGAGTTATGCAGTCATAAATCAAAGAAGGCCAAGGATTGCCAGGAGCCACTGGAAGCCAGGAAGAAGCGAGGGAGAATTCCTCCCTAGGGTCTTCAGAGGGAGTATGGCCCCACCAACATCTTAGTTTCAGAGGTCCAGGCTTCAGAACTATGAGAGAATATATTTCTGTCCTCTTAACCCACCAAGTGTGTGATAATTAGGTATGATGGTCCTAGGCAACTACTACACTCTAATTCAGAAGTTCTTCTGGATTTTATTATATCATGTGTTGGTAGGAAGTACCTGGGTGTTTCATTTGCATGATATGTTGGTAATCTTAGAATTATCATATCTTGCAAGTCATTTTTAAGTATGTTGTAATGTAGTCAGAAGCTTTTTAAATATGAAATTTAATTCTTGCTGGTGTCAATTACATTTGAAAAAAATACAAAATAGCTATATAAGATTCTAGGATCTTTCAGAATTTTATAATGTTTATAATGGAAAGTTGGTTAAATAAAAATTGTACCCTACACAATTTTGTTGTTGGCTTAAAATAGCATTTAATTTATTAGTGCTCAGATAATAGTTATCCCCTCAATAGCATTTTTACTTTCATATGTTGATATCAAACAGTGAAGTGAGACAGCAAATCAGTACAACGTGGTGATTATCAAACATCATAAATCCATGAAGGATAGCGTTGATCTTACTGAGAAGAGTTTAATCTTAAAATGCATACCTGGAAAAGGCAAGTTAGATTAACATTTCAAACTCATATAGCATTATCTGATTGATTATAGTTATGACTGATCATTTTATGTTTGGACCATCACTTTGAATCCAATTGGGATAATTATAAATTAAGGATTTATTATTTGCTTTGAATTTTAGATTAAAAAATTTAAAACCATAAAAACAGAGCTTTGACTATAATAAAGGTATTTATCCTTTCTTGGTAAGAATTGGGGAGAGATTTAAGAAAAGGCTAAGCAATGTTCTATTTTTTTACATAGGCAAAAGTTTATTTGTGCTACTTTTTAATTAGGTAGTTTTTTTTTTTTTTAATGACAGCTTCCTAAACACTACTGATTTTACATGTGCAGTCATTAGTTTTTCATGTGGAAATATTATCTTTCAAATTCACACAGCAGCTTATTTTATGAAATGCAATGGGACTACTTACTTGCCACCTGACTAAACTGGAATGCATAGATTCATACCTCGCCAAATGAGGAGTTAGGGTGAAAAGTGATTAATATCCATTCTTTAATGAGTTTCTAAGTCTTTCTGAACATGTTTTTATTCTATTTATTGCAGTGGTATGTTAACATTTTCGTGTTGGTTGCTGTACAAAGCATGATAATACCTTTATTAAAGTAATGTTAATGACATCAAAATACTATACTTTTAGTGTGAATCTGAGCCAAATTCTGTTGTATTCCAAATAAAGTGAAATTCCTGTCAGCCAATAGGGCCTGGTATCAGTTTCAAATAAGACAAGTTGGTCAGGTCAGGAGAAATGACTTCCTCCTTCCTCCTTACGTGCCGTATATAGATTTATTAGCACTGCCTTTTAATATGTTATGTGTTCAACAGAGAGGGAACTAAGATCTTGTTAATCATCATTTGAAAACAATTTTGTGAATGGAAATGTAGCAGGGCTTTTGCCTTTTTTCCTTGTTCATGAAAAACAAGTCGCGCTTGGGGAGCAAGTATTCCCGTTCAACTGCTGTCACTCATTCTTAGCTCTGTTTAGAAGAAATAAGCACAGATGGTTGGTCTACTACTTCCCCAACGAAAAATTTGCCTGTTGGCTGGGCGCGGTGGCTCACGCCTGTAATCCCAGCACTTTGGGAGACCAAGGCAGGCGGATCACAAGGTCAGAAGATCGAGATCATCCTGGCTAACACGGTGAAACCTCGTCTCCACTAAAAATACAGAAACTTAGCTGGGCGTGGTGGCAGACGCCTGTAGTCCCAGCTACTTTGGAGGCTGAGGCAAGAGAATAGCTTGAACCCGGGAGGCGGAGCTTGCAGTGAGCCGAGATCGCGCCACTGCACTCCGGGCTGGGCGACAGAGCAAGACTCCATCTTAAAAACAAAACAAAACAAAACAAAACAAAACTGCCTATCTTTTTTATGTTTTATTCCATCCTTCTCATTGTAATGTGAACAATATTTCAAGTGAAGAAACATCTGTAGGGATCTTTGAAATGTTTTATCCATTGCTTGTGCATTAAAGAGAAAAAGAAGAAATTAATGATTTATTAAAATTTCATGAGGGGAACTCAAAAACTCTTTGTTACAAAAAAATTTAATTTAGAAACAGTGTATTTTGCATGCAAAATTAAAGTCTTCAGGGAAGTAAGTTTTTATGTCAGACTTGGATCCGAAAGTACTCATTTAATGATGACAGAACCACTTCATCCACGTCATGTTAAAAATACTGGTGTGGGTCTTTTTTATTTATACTGTGGCTTAATGAAAATTTGTCTATGGTAAATATATTAAGAAAAAGAGCATAAAGACTTTTTAACATAATTTTCTAAGGCTGAAAATACGTACAAACAGTAAAATACCCAAATCTTAACTGTACAGCCCAATACTTTTTTTGTTTTTAAACAAACTTAGCCCTTCTGCGTATCCAGTACTCAAATCATGAAATTTTATATTATTACTTCTTCTAGACACTATTTCATAGGGTAGCTCCTATGGTGATTTGGAACATAACTGATTAGTTTTACAATTTTTAGTGGATTAGATCATAGAATATGTTCTGTATCTTGCTTCTTTCATTCAATATTTAGTTTATAAGATTTGTCAATCTTTTTGCATATAGTTGTAACTTGTTAGTTCTCATTGCTATATACTATACCATTATACAAATATAATGTTCAATTCGTGGTTATTTTGAACGGTGCTTCTCTGAGCATTCATGTATTTGTCTTTTGGTAAATATTGCTGCGTATATGCTCAGGGTCATAGAATATGGTTAGATTTAGCACACATGGGAAATGGTGGTGTCCGTCAGTTTACATTTTCATCCACAATGGGAGAGAGTTCCAGTTGCTCCACATCTTTGCCAACACTTGGTATCATTTCTCTTTTTCATTTGAACTGTTCTGATGTGTATGTGTCACTATTTCAATTGTGGTTATTTTGAACATTACAAAATTGGCAAAGAATAACTGATTTTATTAAATCATATTTCATTTGAAGTAATGTGTGTCTACTTTGCAGTATTTTCCCTTATTTACATGATTCATAAGAAGAGTGATTGTGAGATAGTCAACAATATAACAGCTTGGAATGAGATTTTTGATCAGCTATAATTCTAATGTATTTTATCTAAATATTATTTTACTGTATTAGTAACTGTGATCATTAAGAACAGAAACAAAAGGTAAGCAAGTCCTTAGATTAACATGAAACAACATTCCTGCCTTTTGAAAGAAACTTTTCTGGCCTGTAAGTAAATGATGTAAATCAATTAATAGCTTAACTGAAATTAAGAGATGAGTCTCAGTTTTCATTGCCTATATTATATCTGTGTTTCTGCAGGAACAGAAAAACAGTATGACAAACCTACAGTCTGCTAGTTTCTTCTCACCCTGCCAACAACTGTTATATTACTGTTTAGCTGGTTATATGCAACCATTTGTTGAGGAGGATTGTTTTGTTTTGCTTAGTTTTACTTTTTAAGGCAGAGTCTTGCTCTGTTGCCCAGGCTTGAGGTCTATGAGTTTTATACTCATAGTCACATGGTCAATGAGATGTAATCACAGCTCACTGCAGCCTTAATCTCCTGGGCTCACATGATCGCCCTGCCTCTGCTTCCTGAGTAGCTGGGACTACAGGTGCATGCCACCAAACCCAGCTTGTTGAGGAGAGTTTTGATGAAAATCATTCATCCCTTCTTAACTACAACCAGTGAAGCCTTAGAAAATGTAATTAGAGAAAAAAATAACATTTTTGCACCAAGCTAATTGTATCTTTACCTTTTATTAGTTGGTTTCAGGATTGACACTTATTGATGGTTCTATTTTGGAGTGCGCTTTCCCTGGGTTTAACTCCTTGCAGCACACTTTATATACACTGTGTGGCCTTACTTGAGTAACTTATGTTACTTAACTTCTCCAGATCCCAGATTCTCAACCTGTAGAATGGAAGTAATTATAATACAGATATTATATGGTGGGTTAGTCCAGGTCCTCCAAGAGGTAGATGTTGAAAACGAGTTATACACAAGAGGATTTTATTAAGGGAAATCCCTGTGAGAGAAAATGGAGAGGAAGCTGAGTAAGCCTGGAAGAGCTCTCAACTATGAGGCAAGTCTGACCTAGAATGAAGGAAAGAGGAAAGGAAGGTTGAGTGGAAGCATTGGAGCGTAATGTGCAGTCTAAGGAAGGGTACGAAAAGGCTTCAGGAATCCTGAGCCAAGACTGGTCCTCAGAGAAGCCCTGTGTCTCCTAAAGAGGGATGTGCATTAGCCACCTTGTGGCCCTCAGTCATTGACTGAGGGGCAGATGCAGAAACAGATTTTAGAGTGAAGCAGCAAGTGGCCGTAGGCAGTTAGGCTTCCCATACTTTGAGGTCTATGAGTTTATTTATTTATTTATTATTTATTTATTTAAATTATTCTTTAAGCTCTGGGTTACATGTGCAGAACTTGCAGTTTTGTTACATAGGTATACACGTGCCATGGTGGTTTGCTGCACCCATCAACCCGACACCTACATTAGGTATTTCTCCTAATGTTATCCCTCCCCTACCCCCCACCCCCCACCCCCCACAGGCCCCAGTGTGTGATGATCCCCTCCCTGTGTCCATGTGTTCTCATTGTTCAACTCCCAATTATGAGTGAGAACATGCAGACTTTAATTTTCTGATCTTGTGATAGTTTGCTGAAAATGATGGTTTCCAGCTTCATCCATGTCCCTGCAAAGGACATGAACTCATCCTTTTTATGGCTGCATAGTATTGCATGTTGTATATGTGCCACATTTTCTTAGTCCAGTCTATCACTGATGGGCATTTGGGTTGGTTCCAAGTCTTTGCTATTGTGAATAGTGCCACAATAAACATACGTGAGAATGTGTAGAATGATTTATAATCCTTTGGGTATATGCCCAGTAATGGGATTGCTGGGTCAAATGCTATTTCTAGTTCTAGATCCTTGAGGAATTGCCACACTGTCTTCCATACAATGGTTGAACTAATTTACACTCTCACCAGCAGTGTAAAAGCATTCCTATTTTACCACAACCTCTCCAGCATCTGTTGTTCCCTGACTTTTTAAGGATTGTCATTCTAACTGGAGTGAGATGGTATCTCATTGTGGTTTAGATTTGCATTTCTCTAATGAAGTTCTATGAGTTTCTTACTCACGGTCACTAAAAGATGTTTATTATGAATGGAAATCTCCAGATAGAGTAAAGCAATGCCTAAATCATAGTTATGCACTTATCGATTTATTTATTCATATTATTCATTATCATTATGAATATTCAACACATTAATAAAAGAGCCACATATGCAATCTACTTGGGGTATTGGGAGAGTAAAGAATAACATAGCAGTGCTACAGATAATTTAAGAAACGGTTTCTCTCTCTCTCTCTCTCTCTCTCTCTCTATATATATATATATATATATACACATATATATATATATATATATATATATATATATATATGAGACACAGGTATAATTATTTTCCTTCTACTATTTGTTATTGATGTATACTGCCAAATCCCTAACGGAAACTGGAATAGTTAACTCTAAGCTCCCCCCATGCCTACAAAAAGAAGTGGGTTCAAAGTTATTTTTTAAATCGAAAGATTTATTAATATTATTTTTATCATGTCCAATTGATATTATGATTATCAAAAAGTTTAATCACTTATTATTACTTGAAGGACCTAGTTAGGAAATGTTCAATCCACTTTTTTTCTTTTGAGACAGAGTCTCACTCTGTCACCCAGGCTGGAGTGCAGTGACGCGATCTCGGCTCACTGCAAGCTCCGCCTCCTGGGTTCACACCATTCTCCTGTCTCAGCCTCCCGAGTAGCTGGGACTACAGGCGCCTGCCACCACGCCCGGCTAAGTTTTTGTATTTTTAGTAGAGATGGGGTTTCACCATGTTAGCCAGGATGGTCTCGATCTCCTGACCTCGTGACCTGCCCGTCTCGGCCTCCCAAAGTGCTGGGATTACGGGCGTGAGCCACGGCTGCCGGCCTGTTCCACTTCTTAAAACTGGTCACTGGAAGTACATCGTCTTGGGAAGAACTGGATATTTCTTGAAACCCCTTTCATATAGCCATATTCTCAAACATAGAACCTTCTTTTATGTTTTTCAAAGATTTTTTCCATTACTGTAGAAAATTCAGAGGGTGTTTATGGATAGTGCAGTACTCTGCTCAAATATAGGGAATGAAAGTTACATTAAAATATTTTTTTGCTGAAAAGTATTATGATATTTAATGTAAGCAAACAAATTACTCAGATGATAGTGTTTTGTTTTAACTTTTTAAATGTCTTATTTCAATAGCTTTTGGAACACAAGTGGTTTAAGTAACGTGGATAATTTGTATAGTGGTGAAGTCTGAGATTTTATTGCACCTGTCACCTGAGTAGTGTACATTGTACCAAACATGTAGCTTTTTTAATCCCTCACCCGCCTGCCAACTTCCCCCTTACGAATCTCCAGAGCCCATTATACCACTCAGTGGAGAGTCTTCAACATTCACGGTGGAATCTTCAGGATGTGGCCCTCTATCCATTGCTTTCCACCGTTTGTACTCTCTGCTTTGTAAATAGAGGTCCGTTCTCCCTGTCTGCCTTGTTCACGTACCTTTGCCGTTTTCCTTGCTAGGATGACATCGTTTGCCCTGAAGTTCTCATTAACCATACCATAGATGTCCTCTTCTTACCTCAATACATCCAAGGCTACCTCAAGTTATAACTTCTCCTTTAGTTTTTCCCTAGTGTCTGAGTCCAAATGGACTTCTCTATATCCAGAATATCTACTACTTGTCTTATTTTTCCTCACACTTGGCACGTGCAGTTCCTTCCAGCTACTTTCATAATGTTGTATTTTAACGGTTCAGTTGTGTTTATATTTCACTATTCTGTCAGGCAAACAAGGGTATTCGCATGGCTGAAAACTATGGTATTTTTTAAGTGTAATAAAATGTAATGAATAAACATACAAATGAATGAGTTAATTAATATATTATATTCTTGGTTAAGTAATAAGCATTATGAGGACAAAAATTGAGTCTTACACCTTCTTATAATCCTAAAGACCTCGTACAGGACTTGGAATATAGCATGCACTTAAGACATCTTTGTGACTAATGAATTTAAATATTTTTATTAATTCTAAGTTGACATATGATTGTAATTTGGGGAAGGTAGTGAAATTTCAAATGGCTTTCACCACCTGTGAAATGACCCTTTTACATACCACATGATTTACCAGATCTTTGTTTAGGTGAACCTAGGTGAAAGCGGATTGTTTCCTCTACTTAGGAAATACTTTGCGTATTTTAGTTGCTTATAAATGTGATGATTTTAATTTGTACAGTTATAGTTTATGATATTGACTTGTACAGTTATATATATGTTTACATATTATATATTGCATATGGTTATACTATGTATAATTTTATTTTTCTAAAATAAAGAATATTATTACACATTAACAAAATAGATATAACTGTTTTCCTTCTACTATTTGTTATTGGTGTATACTGCCAAATCCCTGATGGATACTGAAATTCTTATCTCTAAGCCCCTCTATGCCTACAAAAAATGGGCTCAAGGTTATTTTAAAAATCAAAGAGTTTATTAATAATATTATTTTTTATCATGTCCAATTGATACTATCATTATTAAAAAGTTTAATCACTTATTTCTTGAAGGACTTAATTAGGAAATATATATAATGTGTGTGTATATATATATTCCATATATATATATACTCTATATATCCTATATATATATTCTCTCTATGTGTATCCTATATATTCTCTATATATATTCTATATATATATATATTCTCTATATATTCTATATATTTATTCTCTATATATTCTATATATATTTTCTATGTCTTCTCTCTATATATTCTCTATGTATTCTCTACATATTCTCTCTATATATTCTATATATAATTCTATATATAGTCTATATATGTATTCTATATAAATACACACACACACATATATAGTAGCCTAATATTTAAAACATAAGATTGGGACTGCCTAAAATAAGCTGACCCAGACCATAGGGGTACAGACATACGGATACTTCAGCAAGAACTGGTAACAAAGTGAGATATATGTTAACTCTTTGTAGCATATTGTTAAGTAGTATTAAAAAACAAGTAATTTTTGGTTGGGTCCATTGAGAGAATAACATTATTTTTAGAATGATCTAATGGCACGATAAACATTCTAGCATTTTACCTGGAAAAACATTATAGCTGTGCCAGTTTCTGTTCCAAGAAAAAAATACATTGGTGTATTCTCTAAAGGAGGAAATTCTGACCTCAACTATGTTCAGATAGCTGTGGCAGATAATACTCTGATC